>NC_000003.12:131735877-131887392 GCF_000001405.40 Homo sapiens
CCCTGATGTCTCTCTTGATCAACTTCTCTCCCCTACCTCCTCCTAAAATGTTAAGCTTCTATCTGAAGCCAAATCCAAGTTACTACAAATTCTTATCATCATGAAACTAGCTCAGAAATTAGAGTGGCAGAGATAGCTGGGTTTCTTCACAGCCTGGGGCAGATTTCAATATGTGCCACAGGTCCCCCTGCCTTCTCTCCACAGTTAAGTAGGGCCACACAGCTTTGTTCAGGCATGAGTCTCAGGCCCTGCCCAGTGACAAATCCAGGGTAGTGCCCATGTGGCAGTAATTAACTTAATACCTGGACTTGTTTTCCACGGTGGCCCAATGACTGGCATCCACTCCTTCTGCCCTATTTTCATATATATCACTTTTTGTTTTACTAGTTTCTAAAAGACTTCCTCTTGAAACCAAAGAGTTTGCAACATTCTACTACAGTTAATGTAAAAGTTGAAGCTACTGTCTGGGCATGGTGGCTCACGCCTGTAATCCCAGCACTTTGGGAGGCTGAGGTGGGCAGATCACCAGGTCAAGAGATTGAGACCATGCTGGCCAGCATGGTGAAACCTCGTCTCTACTAAAAATACAAAAATTAACTGGGCATGGTGGCGCATGCCTGTAGTCCCAGCTACTCGGGAGGCTGAGGCAGGGGAATCACTTGAACCCGGGAGGCGGAGGTTGAGCGGAGATCACACCACTGCACTCCAGACTGGCTACAGAGCAAGACTGTCTCAAAAAAAAAAAAAAAAAAAAAAAGTTGAAGATGCTTACACAAGGGTTGAGAGAAAGCATGGTGGGGTGGACACCCAGAGTTTAGGGATCACATTGTTTTACTTGAACCATGGCTGTCTGGGCCTTGTCTCTACCTTGCAATAGGTTGAGTACTAGAATGTTCTAGACTATCACAGATGATATCAACTCCTTTTCTACTCTAGAAGATTCAAGCTACTCCACACACCACAAAGCTCTCCAATTGCAGACTTTTTCTCCTATTTCTGTTCCTGATAAATAAACAGGATTGGTAATCAGAAAATTAATCTCAACAGATCTTCAATTCACTACCAACCACTTGGGTTGAATGAATCATTATGGAAATTACCCTAAGACTGTCACAAGATAATTTCTTTATTAGAAGAGCTAAAAATCCTTCTCTTCCTTTTTCTCCTTTCCATTCTAAAATTTCTGCTTCCCCTGTCTTTAAGTACATTCAGTGCCTCTTTTTATGAAGTATTGTGTCTTTTTTTTTTTTTTTTTTTTTTTTTTGAGAGGGAGTCTCGCTCTGTCACCCAGGCTGGAGTGCAGTGGCACGATCTCAGCTCACTCTAACCTCCGCCTCCCGAGTTCAAGCAATTCTCCTGCCTCAGCCTCCTGAGTAGCTGGACCTACAGGCACTCGCTACCACACCTGGCTAATTTTTGTATTTTTAGTGGAGATGGGGTTTCACCATGTTGGTCAGGATGGTCTCGAGTGTCGTGTCTCTTTTAGAGCCACCTCCCACTAATACTCTGGCATCACTCCTACTCACTTGTCATTAATTATGTTGATACAATGAAGGGATGACATTGCTGGATCCTTCATAAGGTGAAAGAACTATTAGTGAGTGGAGTCAAATCTTAAGTGGTGAAATTTCCCATCACACTATCATCACTGTCAGCATCATTAAAATGATCAAGTGATTGATGTTTATTGCATGCCTACATTTTACAAGCACAGGGCTGGGCACTCTCAGGACCTTAAAGAAGTAGCAAGTCAACAATAGATAGAGGACTTCAAGCGTTTATCATGAGCTCTGTGCTAAGTCCCCAATGTTCATTCTCTTTTTGAAGCTACATAATAGCCCTTCTATGCTGGCCCCTTGCTCAACAGGTTAGAGGGCTCAGGAAATGTAACCCAAGGTATATTGTTTTCTTGTGACAACATCAATGATTTCAGTGCTTAAACTTATCCTCCTAGAGGACTTTAAAAAAAAAATAGCAACCAAAACCTTCTTTTAAAATGTCTTATTTATTCATCTAAAGTAAATTCTTCCAAAATGATTCCAATTAGCAATTTTTACTGATTTCCGTGCATTTACTTATTTACTCAAGGAAGATTGAATGAGTGCATATGATTTTTTCAGCACTGGGCCCTAGGGATTCAGCATTAAGCTAGATACATCTCCATCCATCCTAATGCATAGAGTCCAGTTTATAATAGATGTGTTACTCAAGGTACCATTCATTCTGCTGAAATCCTTGAGTGCACAGGATAGATATTCTGTGTGGCAGTGTTTATTGGCCACACTCTGTGGTGCCTTGTGGTGGAGACATTCCTGCCCCAGCTCAAAGAAAGACAGAAAATAAATTATCGTAAGTAGCATCTTTAGATATACAGCACATGTGACAAATCCAAGTGGCTCTTCATTGTGATAGTAAGAGCAGTTCTGCAATCCCATTATACACATCTTATCTGATCTGGCAGTTGTGCTGGGAGCTGAGCTGAATGTTTTTTGTATTTGTACAGCAAGACATCAGGCTTTCAAGAATTAACCAGTGGGCGACCAAAGGAAGCAAATTTTGGCTCCATAAAGGAAGACCTTTCATATAATCAGAAATACCCAGACACCACTTAATGGGCATGAAGAAGAAATTTAAGCAACAGATGGGGAAGGGAGGGGGAATGAACTCATTTTTAAGGTTTCTTCCAACCCTGAAATTCTAATTCTATACCTGATTTTAAATATGGGGTTTTTGGTTTTGTGGGTTTTTTGTTTGTTCGTTTTTGTTTGTTTGTTTTTTTCTGGCTTTGATAGCCAGAGACTGGATAGTTTTTAATTACCTAGGGGATATGTTTAGTGGTTATGGATTATCCATGGTTCACTTGCAATTCCTTGATTTTGCTTAATCAAATGTGAGATCATTTTTCTTGATTCAATGCAAATGCACAAACACAAACAAAACATAATATGTACATATTCATCATGTCTTTTTCTTTTTCTTTTTTTTTTTTTTCTTAAGATGGAGTTTTGCTCTCGTCGCCCAGGCTAGAGTGCAGTGGTGCAATCTCAGGTCACTTCAAACTCCTTCCTGCAGGGTCAAGCGATTCTCCTGCCTCAGCCTCCCAAGAAGTTGGGATTACAGATGCCTGCCACCACACAGGGCTAATTTTTGTATTTTTAGTAGAGACAGGGTTTCGCCATGTTGGCCAGGCTGCTTTTTATTTTCTATACTTTTATACTTCGAAGTCATGGAAACTTGCTGACCCTGGAGGGATCAGTCCTCTCAAGGCTAGCTAATTCCTGGAGACAGTAAAAGCTCACCTGCAGAGCCAAACAAACCAGTCCAGAGCCCCTGCCTTTAACCATCTTTTTTTATTCACTTTTTACACACTGGGCCATTCCCCTGCCCTAATCACCAGGTACAGCTAGAGACAGTTCTTCTGCCTCAGAGGCTACTGAAGTTAAACTGTCAATCCTACACCTGCCTACCCTGCCTTGTCACTTCTTGCTCACAGAGAAAAGGCTCTCGTGTACATTTTCCCCTCTGTCCTTCTGCCTCCTGACCCATGCTGCTGCTTCCCCCTGTGGCTGTGCTTCCTGTTTCTAAGGAACTGTGAGTATAAACATCTTCTTTCAGGACAGTCATTTCTGTGTCTGCATGTCTTACCATACCTGATTAAAACAAATCCTGGGTAACCTTAAAACAATGTGACTATAGGAAAGTAGACAGTTTGGTAGAGAAGAAACAACTAACATGGAAATTTAAGGATTATTTTGTGGATTTAAATGGCTTTTCCTTGGCCACCATGGCCAGTAAAGGAAAGAAGATGACATTTCTTGAACATCTACTACATGCTATTGTACTTACATGCCACAAGCATCACAAGGTAGATACAATCAATATCTTTACTTTATAGGTGAGGAACCTGACACTTGAGGAAGTTTAGTAACTTGTCTAAGTTCACACATTTTGCTCCTGGCAATGCTGAACACAAAGCCAGTTTTTCTGTTCCAGGTTTTTATTTGTTGTATTTTGTTTGCTCCCCCAACCCCATCATATCCCAGTTACCTCTCTCTGTACCATATATGAATGTCAAAGCGACTTGCCCTAATTCTTTTTCAAGAATAGTAAGCACAGAATGGGAAGAGATACCTCTTATCTTTTACCCACAGAACCAATTGGCTTCTTGAGACAAAACATTCACTAGACCTCATGGATGAAAGAAAGAAGTTTATAAAGGTAATATGGGAATGGGATATGGGATATAAGGCACTAAGGCTCAAACTGTCACTGTGCCTTCAGATGGAGCTGGCCTGTGACTGGTACAGCTGGGTATTTCTTGGTCTTGTCTCAGGCAGGAACTCCTCATCTATGTATAAGGAAATGTCTGTGTTCAGCTGTCCATATTGGCATGATCAAAGGCTTAATTCTCTAGACTGGCTCCCTAGGTCATCTTATACACTGTCATAGTTTTAAATAAAATATATGAATGGATATCTCAGGCCCAGATGTCTCCCCTGAACATCTTTTGAGGCAGCTCAAACTTTACATGCCTATAGTGTTCCTGATAACTACCTCCCTCCCATGCCGTTCTTCTAGATGCTCAAGCGAAAACCTTAGGGTCATACCAAATGCATCCTTTCCTCACATTTCCATATCCAACCCACCACCAAATCCTGTTGTCTTACCTTTAAAATAGATACCGGATCTCACGGCTTCTCACCTTCCCCACTGTTGCCACTTCATGCCAAGTCACTATTCTCTCTTCTCTTGGATTATTAGGATACTGTCTTAGCTAGTACCCCTTCACCTCCCCTGTCCTCTTTAAACTAGTCTCAATGCAGAAGCTAGAGTAATCGTGTTAAAACTCAAGTTAGATGATACAATTCCTCTGCTTAAAACCTTCCGACAACTCCCCATTTCACTCAAACTTTTCATTGTAATCTTTAAAGTCTGACTCCCTGCCCACAAACACTCCTTTATTACCATTCTGATCTCATATAATACCACTCTACCCTTCACTCTGGCCTCTCTGCTGTTCCTTTGAACATCCTAGGCATACTCTTGTGTCAGGGCCTTTGCCTTTGCTGTCAACTCTGCCAGAATGCTCTTCCTCTAAATATCCACATGGCTCTTTCTCTTATTTCCTTCAGATCCGTACTTAAATGTCTTCTCATTGAAGCTTTTTCTTGCACCCTATCTGTAACATTAATATCTCCCTCTAACATTTCCTATTTCCATTTGCTGCTTTAATTTTTCTCCTTAGCACTTATTACTGTCTAACATAATGTAAATTCTACTGTATTTCTGGTTCACTGTTTGTTTATCCCGGCATAATGTAAAGTAAATGACAACAGTATTTAAAATATTAACAACTGATTCAGTAAAGGCATCATCCAAGCAGAGCAAATGCAGGGTTAGTCAGAATGGATGATTGTTGTAAACAACCAAGATAGGTATACCAGTGTGAACTGACGACATATCAGGTCCACATTTATACCTAATGAGATAAAGCTAGACAGTCTGAGAATGTGCTGGGAAAGGACTCTCAAATAGAAGGGCCAATCTGTTAAGGGAATTCTCATAACAGTCTAGAATTAAAAATAATAAGCCATCTCAGAAAAACCTACTGATGGAATGGAATAGGGTGGGGTGAGGGTTGGGGGCAAGGTATTTCAAAGTTCTCATATGAGGTAAAAGGCAAAAGTCAGGGAAATAAGTTTTCTGAAAAATCTTACGTTACTGAAACAGGGAACACATAAAGCACCTTGACACAGCAAAGAGTTGGTACTTTAATTATAATTATAATACTAGAGGAAGATTTGCCTGACTATGAAAGCAGGAAAGAGGTTTGGCGGGCAACTTTGCCAAAACAGTTGAGGCTCTTCTCTCATTCTTCTTACTAGTGAGCCAGCCTCCTACTGCAGAGGCTGAAAATGCCAGATGCTCACTATCTTGGCCTCCCCTGTAGCCACAGCCTGCTCATGTAACCCCATTCCCATCCTGGCCAATGGAATTGGAGAAGATAATTATTGGAAACATATGAGTTCTTCCCCCATAAAAAGATATGTGCAGGAATGAACATCTTTGCCCTCTATCCCTTCTTTTTCACATTGTCTTTGTCATGTGAGGATGTGATGTTTGAAGTTGAAGCTCCCATCTTGCCACCCATCTTGCAACTGTGAGGGGTGTGATGGTTAATTTTATGTGTCAAGTTGACTGGGCTACAAAGTGCCCAGATATTTGGTTAAATATTATCCTGAATGTGTCCGTGAAGGTATTTCTGGATGAGAGTAACATTTGAATCTGTAGACTAAGTAAAGCCAATTGCCTTCTCCAATGGGGTCAGGCCTTATGCAACTCACTGAAGGCCTGAATACAACAATAAGGCTGGATAAGGGAAAATTTACTCTCTCTGCCTGTCTTCAATCTGGGACACCGGTCTTCTCCTGGCTTTGGACTAAGACTTGGACTGGAATTTATACCGTGGGCTCTCCTTTTTCTAAGGCCTTTAGACTGGGATTGGAAGTATACCATCAGCTGTCCTGGGTCTCCAACTGCCAACTGCAGATCTTAGGACTTCTCAGCTTCCATAGTTGCACGGGCCAATTCTTAATAGTAAGTCTTTTTGTGCATGTATGTGTATTCATATACATACATATATATGTATATATAATTGCATGTATACATATATGTAAACACCCTCATTGAGTGGGAGACTGCACTTTTTTCTCTTATGTATATGGAACATTTATGTAAATTGGCTTAATCATTAGTCAATAAGTAAAATCAATAAAGTTAAAACCAGACACATCCTCTGAACAAAAGCCAACAAAAATAAAAATAAAGAATTAAAAAGTGACCAAAAATCCTGTTTACTTTGAAATTTAAAAACAAAATTCCTAGAGATCCTTGTATTAAAGGAAAAATAAAAATAGATATTTCAAACACCTTAGAAAGCAACTGAAAGAACACTTCCCACCAAAACCTATGGGAATGATAATTTTATTATTTGGGAAAAGTATAGCCTTAAATGCCTTTACTACTAAAGAAGGAAGACTAAAAATATAGAAACTTAATATTCATCTTAATAAACAAGAATAATAATAAATCAGAATAAACTAGAGGATGAATTAATAAAGATAAAGGTGTACATCAACAAAATCGAAGAGAAACAAAAATATTAGAAGTAGTAAGTAAATTTAGGAGGTGGTTCTTTAATAAAATAAAACAGACCAACAGCTAGCAGTCTGATTATAGATAAAAGAACAATGACAGATTCAGGAAGGATTAAAATAATATCATATGTGTTTCTTTTCCAATGGGAAATAATTTTTTAGCAAAATATAAATGACTCAAAGTTATCTAACAGGCAGTGGGAAACTTAAATAGACCAACTGTAGACCAGCCTGTGAAGGTGATTAGATCTACCATTGAAAAGGGCACTAGGACCAGATGGGTTCACAGCTGAGATTTATCTAACCTTTACAAAATAGATAATTATAATGTAACTTCAGCTGCTCCAGGCCACACAGAAAGCTAGACAGCTCACCAATTAATTTCATGGTACAAGCATAAATTTAATACCAAAACCCAAAAAAGTAGAAAAATAGAAAAGTACACACCAGCCTCATTTAAGAATGTAAATGTGAAAATTCTAAATAAAACATTGGCAAAAGCATCCAGTGGTGCACACAAAAATACACTATGATCAAATAGTTTATTCCAGTGATGCAAAGAGAGTTAAATATCAGGAAATTCATCAATGTAATTAATCACATCAATACATTAAAACAGGGAAACACATGATCATATTTATAGTTGCTAAAAACAATACTGTAAAATAGGAAGGGCTGGAAACCATTTAAAGTAACTATAAGCAAATAAAATCTAAATATAATAAATAAAACAATAAAAGCACACGGTGAAACCCCGTCTCTACTAAAAATACAAAAAATTAGCCGGGCGTGGTAGCGGGCGCCTGTAGTCCCAGCTACTCGGGAGGCTGAGGCAGGAGAATGGCGTGAACCCGGGAGGCGGAGCTTGCAGTGAGCCGAGATCGCGCCACTGCACTCCAGCCTGGGCGACAGAGCGAGACTCCGTCTCAAAAAAAAAAAAAAAAAAAAAACAATAAAAGCATTATAATGAAAATCAGTAATTAGACAAAAATTTCCATTATTGTTATCCTTTAATATTATTTGAAAATTTGTTTGAATGCAATGTAAGAAAAATTTAAAAACTTGCAGATATATTTTTTAAAATAGCTAAAATGACTTTTATTTTTACTAACTATATGATTGCATATTTATAAAGAACCAAGACACTCAAATAAAGTCTATCAGTATTAATAAGAGGATTTGGTAAGATGCCTGAAAACAAAATAAAAAATATAGAAATTTATTAAAAAGTGATTGGTTTTTCTCTATTTTAATAATAAGTACTCAGAGAGGAAACTATCTACTTATAACAGTGATAAAAGACTTTTTAAAATCTTGCAACTAAACTTACTTTTTAGTGAAACTTTTTATTTTGTGTCAGTTGTAGATTCACATTCAATTGTAAGAAATAATAAAGAGACCCCCTTGTACCCTTTATTCAGTTTTCCCCGATGGTAACATCCTACAAAGCTATAGCATAATATCATACCAAGATAGTGACACTGATACAGAATATTTCCATCCCCACAAGGATCCCTCATGTTGCCCTTCTATAGTGACAACCACTTCTCTCTATGCCTTCACCTACTTCTAAACTGCTGGCATCCATTAATGTGTTCTCTATTTCTATCATTTTGTCAATTCAAGAATGTTATTTAAATTGACTCATACAGTATGTAAGCTCTTCAGATTAGCTTTTATTACTCAACATAATTCTCTGAAGATTCATCCAGGTTGTTGTGTGTATCAGTAATTTGTTCCTCTTTACTGCTGAGTACAATTCCATGATATAGATGTACCACAGTTTGTTTAAACACTCACTTGTTGAAGAACATCTGTTTCCAGTTCTGGGCTACTGCAGATGGGGGGTGTTATAAACATTTGTCTACAGATTTTCTTGTGATCACAAATCTTAATTTCTTTGGGATAAACGCCCAAGTGTGCAATTGCTGAGTCGTATGGTAGTTGCATGTTAATTTTTAAAGAAACTGACAAGCTGTTTTGAAGAATGGCTATACCAATTTACATTCCCATTAGCAAAGCATGAGTGATTCAGTTTCTCCAAATCTCCAACAGCATTTGCTGTATCACTATTTATTATTTCAGCCATTCTAACAGGTATGTAATAGTATCTCGTTGTTGTTTTAATTTTAATTTTCATAATAGCCTAATGATGTCAAACACCTTTTCATGTACTTACTTGCTGTCTTATGTCCTCTTTGATGAAACGTCTCTTCATGTCTTTTGCACATTGGATTGCTTGTTTATTGTTGAGTTTTGAGATTTTTAAATATATTCAAGACACTAGTACTGTTACATATGTGGTCTGTAAATATATTCTGATAGGCTGTAGTTTGTCTTTTCCTCCTTGTAAAAGGGTCTTTTGCAGACCAAAGCTTTACATTTTGAGAAATTTTAATTTATCAATTTTTGCCTTTGTGGATTATGCTGCACGTGTCAAGTCTAAGAACTTTTTGCCTAACCCTAAAGCCCCAAAATTTCCTCCTATTTTTTTCTGAAAGTTTTATAGTTTAATGCTTTACATTTAAGTCTGTGATTCATTTTGGGTTATTTTTCCTAATAATGTATGGGACTTAAATCAAGGTTTTTCTTTGTCTATAAATGTCCAACTGCTTCAGTACCAGTTTTGGATTGCTTTTGTACCTTTGTCAAAAATCAATTTGGTGTAATTCTGTGGGTATATTTCTGGTTTCTCTGTTGTTCTGTTACATTGGTCTATGGGTATACCCTTCTGCCAGTTCCACACAGTCTTGATTACTGTTGCTATATGGTAATTCTTGAGACAGAGCAAACTAATTCTTTCCACTTTAGTCTTCTTTTACAAAGTTGTTTTGGCTATTCTACTTCTTTTGTTATTTAGAACAACCTTGTCTATATCTAAAAAATATCTTGCTGGTATTTTTATAGAAATTATGTTAAACCTGTTTATAAATTTGGTGAGAACTGACATCTTTATTATTTTCAGTCTTTTAATCCACGAACATGGCATGTGTCTCTATTTACTTAGATCTTCCATTTCTTTCATTCACATTATGTAGTTTTCAGCTTCAAGTTCTGTATATGTTTTCTTAGATTTATGCCTTAGTGTTTCAGGTTTTAAAAAATTTATCATCAACAGATAATAAGTGTACATATTTATGGGGTACAACGTGATGTTTAGATTCACATATATAGTGTGATAATCAAACCATGGTAATTAGCATGCCCACCATCTTAAACATTTATCATTTCCCTGTAATTAGAACATTAAAATCACTCTCTCTTAGGTATTTTGAAATATGCAATACATTGTTGTCAACTCTAGTCATTCTACCGTACAATAAAACAGCAGAACTTATTTATTCTATCTGTAACTTTGTACTTGCTGAACAATCTCTCTCCAAGGCCTTCTCTCCCCTCTTCTCCCCATCCTCTGGTAGCTACAATTCTACTCTCTACCTCCATGAGAACAACTTATTAGATTTCACATATGAGTGAGATAAGGTGGTATCTGTCTTTCTGTGCCAGACTTATTTCACATAACATAGTGTTTTCCAGTTCCATCCATGTTGTCACAAATGACAGAAATTCATTCTTTTTATGGCTTAATAGTATTCCATTGTGTATATATAGCATATTTTCTTTATCCATTCATCTGTTGATGGACATTTAGGTTTATTCCATATCTTGGCTACTGTGAATAGTATGGCAATAGAGATAGGAGTGCAGATATCTCTTTGATATACTGATTTTATTCCCTTTGGTTATATGCCCAGCAATAGGATTGTGGGGTTATATTGTAGTTCTATTTTTAATTTTTAAGAAACCTCTAAACTATTTCCCATAATGGCTGTATTAACTTACATTCTCACCAGCAGTGTATAAGGGTTTCCTTTCCTCCACATCCTCACAAACACTCATTTTCTCTTGATTTTTTGGTAGTAGCCATTCTAACAGGAATGAGTAGATAACTTATTTTAGTTTTGATTTGCATTTCCCTGATGATTAGTGATGTAGAATATTTTTTCATATATCTGTTGGCCATTTGTATGTTTTCTCTTGAGAAATGTCTATTTAGGTCTTTTGCCTCTGTTTTAAAATCATGTTTTTTTTTTTTTTCTCTTGTTGTTGAGTTGTTTGAGTTCTTTATACATTTTGGATCTAAACCCCTTATCAGATGTATAGTTTGCAACTATTTTCTCCCATTCTATGGATTGTCTCTTTGTTCTGTTGATTGATTATTTTGCTGTGCAGAAGCTTTTTAGTTTGATATAATCCATTTGTCTATCTTTGCTTTTGTTGTCTGTGCTTTTGAGGTTTTATTCAAAAATTCTTTCCTATACTGATGCAATGGAGTTTTTCCTTGATTTCCTCTAGTAGCTTTGTAGTTTCAGGTCTTACATTTAAGTCTTTAGTCCATTTTGAGTTGATTTTTGTATATGATAAGAACTTTTTTTGTTTGTTTTTTGTTTTTTAGCAACTGTAAGTGTTGGTTTTCACTTTAGTATTTTAAAATTTGGTTTCCACTTAAAAAAAAAATTTGAGACAGGGTCTCACTACGTTTCCCAGACTGATCTCAAACTCCTGTGCTCAAGTGATTCTCCTGCCTTAGCCTGCCAAGTAGCTGGGATTGCAGGCATGTACCACATGCCCAGCTGGTTTCTACATGTTAATCGTTGGTGTATAGAAATGCAACTGACTTTGCTGAAACTCACTTACTCATTCTAGAATTTTTTTGGTAGATTCTTTGGAATTTTCTATATAGACATTCATTTCATATGTAAATAGGAACAGTTTTATTTCTTACTTTCCTATTTTTATGCTTATTTTCTTTTCTTACACTATTGTTCTGGCTAGATACTCTAGCACAATATTGAAAAAGAGTAGTGACAGCAGATACCCTGCTTTGTTGCCTATTTTGGAGGAAAGCACTCAGTTTTTTACCATTAAGTATAATATTAGTTGTAAGATCTCTGTAGATGCTCTTTATCAAGCTGAGGAAGTTCTCCTCTATCCTGATTTTTCTGGGAGTTTTTGTCATAGATGGATATTAAATTTTCTCAAATGCTTTTTTGGCATCAATATGATCATGTGATTTTCTTTTGTAGCCTGTTAATATTAATGTAATATTAACAGGATTACTATATTATGGTACTATATGGATTACTACTATATATGGTACTATATGAATTACTATATTATGGCAATGTAATAGATTGATTGGTTTTCAAATTTTAAACCAATCTTTGGTTTTTAAATTTTAAACTAGTCCTATATCCCTGGAATAAACCCCACTTAGTCATAGTGTATAATTCTTTTTATATAATGCTGAATTCTATTTGCTAATGGTAAGAATTTTTGCATCTATATCGTGAGGAATACTGGTCTTTTTTTTAATAATTTTTTTGTCTGGTTTTGATATCAGGATTATAAAAGCTTTATAAAATAAATTTAGAAGTGTTCCTTTCTTTTATTTTCTAGAAGAGATTGTGTAAATTGGGATTAATTCTTCTTGAAACATTGGGTAGAATTCTCCAGTGAAACCATCTGGGATGGGAGATCTCCTTTTAAATAACAAATTAAATTTCCTTAATTGTTATAGGACTAGTCAAATTATCTACTTCATTTTGGGTTAATTTTTGCAGTTTGTGTTTTTCATAAAGTGACATTGTCAAATGCCAAATGTCAAATTTTGATAAATCTGACATTTTGTCTAAATTGTCAAATTTATGTGTGCAAAATTGTTTGTATTATTATCTTATTATCCTTTTGATGTCTGCAGGATGTGTGGCAATATCCTTGGTTTCATTCCTAATTTTGATAACTTGTGTCTTCTCTCTTTTTTTATTTCCCAGTTGTTACAGGATTTGCCAATTTTATTGATTTTTTCAAACAATTCTTTGCCTCACTGACTTTCTCTGTTGTTTTTCTATTTTTAATTTTGTTTATTTTTGCTCTTATCTTCATTATTTCCTTCTTTCTTCTTGCTTTTGATTTACTTTGATGTTATTTTTCTAGGTTATTGATTTGAGGTTTTTCCTCTTTTCTAATATGTGCATTCATGTATTAGAAGCGCACTCAGCACTTCTTTAACTGCATGCCACAGATTTTGATGTTGTATTTTCATTTTCATTCACTTCAATGTATTTTTACATTTCCCTTGAGACTGTTTTTGGATCAGGATAATACAAGCTTCACCCATGGATTATGCAGAAGTCTGTTGCTTGTTTTTCAAGTGAAGATTTTTCCTGTTACGTTTCTGCTCTTGATTTCTAGTTCAATTCTATTATGGCTACAGAATCCATCCAATATTATTTCAATTATTTTAAATTTGTAGATGTTTGCCTTGAGGCCCAAGATATAGTCTATCTTAATATTATGTCCTGTGGGCATTTGCAAATAATGTACATGTTGCTGGTTTGGAGTGAAGTGCTCCATAACTTAATAAGATTTTGTTTCTTGATAATGTTTTTGAGTTCTATATTCTTGCTGATTTTCTGTCTAGTTGTTTTATCAATTGCTGAGAGAGGGGTGTACTGAAGTCTCCAGTTTTGATTGTGAATTTGTGTATTACTTCTTTCAATTCTTTCTGATTTTGTTTATTGTAATTTGAAACTGTTGTTTCATGTATACACATTTAAGATTGTTATGTCTTCTTAATGGATTCATACTTTTATTATTATATAAGATTTCTCTCTTTTTTGGCAATTTTCTTTACTCTGAAGTTTAATGTATTTGATATTAATTTAGGCACGTCTGCTTTCATTAGATTAATATTTGCATGATATATCCTTTTTCATCCTTTTACTTTTAACCTACAATCTTAATCCATTTTCTTTGTTGTAACAGAATACCTGAGACTGGGTGATTTCTAATGAACAGAAATTTATTTAGTTCACAGTTTTGGAGGCTAAAAGTCCAAGAGCATATCTCCAGCATCAGGTGAGGGCCTTCCTGCTGTGCCATGACATTGTGGGAGGCATCACATGCTGAGACAGAGCAACTATACTAGCTTAGGTCTCTCTTACTCTTCCTACAAAGCCACCAGTCTCATCATGGGGCCTCACCTGAGTGACCTTATCTAATTCTAATTCTCTCCCAAAAGTCCCATCTTCAATTAGTATATGAATTTGGAAATTAAATTTCTAACACCTGACATTTGCGGGACACATTCAAACTATAGCACCTATCTGTATTTTTATACTTGAAGTTTCTCATAGAGAGCATATAACTGGGTAGTGTTTATTAATCCAACTTCTCAATCTTTGTCTTTCAATTGGTATATTTAAGTCATTTAAATCTGTTGTAATTATCGATATGGTAGAATTTAAGGCTACCATTTTATTGTTTTTGTTTGTTTTCTGTTTTATTTTTCCTGCCATCCTATGGGTTACTTGAACATTTTTTTAAATTTCATTTCGATTTATGTAGCGTTTTTTAGTGCATCTCATTGAGTATTATTTTTAGTGGTTGCTCTAGGTATTACATTGTATATACCTAACTTATGAGTAGCATCATTTTACCAGATCAAGTGACATAATGGAAACTTTACTTTCCCCAATGTCCTTTTATTATCCCTGTTTATAATAGAATTGTCTTAAATATTTTCTCTACATAAACTGAAGAACCACATCATACAGTGTTACAATTTTTGCCTCAACTGTCAAACATAATGCAGAATTCAGGAGGAGAAAAAATGCCTATTATTTTTCTATATTTTTGTGTACTGCCTTTCCTTCCTTTTTTGATGCTCCGATGTTCTTTTATCATTTCCTTTCTATTTAAAGAACTTTGTCTCACCATTCTTTTAGGGTAGGTTTGCTGGTGACAATTTTTTTTTAGTTTTCTCTCATTTGAGAATGTTTTGATTTCTCTTTCATCCCTGAAGGATATTTTCACTGGGTATAGGATTCTGAGTTGATAGTTCTTTTCTTTTAGAACTGGAAAAATATTATGCCCCTTCCTTCTTTCTTCTATGTCTTTTGATGAGAAATCTGCTGTCATTCAAATTGTTTTTACCCTATAGGCAAAATGTCATTTTTCTTTACCTGGTTTTAGATTTTTTTCTTTGTCCTTAGTTTTCAGAAGATTAATTATGATGTATCTTGGCATGGATTTCCTTAGGTTTACCCTGCTTGAAGTTTCACTCATCTTGTTGAAGCTGTAGGTTTACATCTTGTCAAATTTTGTAAGTTTTCTGCCATTGTTCTTCAAGTACTTTTTTAGTTCTGCCTTATTTATCCCTTCCTTCTTGGACTATGACAACACGAATATTCCATCTTATAGTTCCACAGGTTTCTGAAGTGTTATTCATTGTTTTCAATCTATTTTTTTCTCAGTTGATCAGATTAGGTATTTCTATTGTTCTATCTTCCAATGTACTGATTCTTTCCTCTATCTCTTCCATTCTATTGTTGAACATATCCATGAGCTTTTTAATACCAGTTGTTGTATACTTTATTTCTAAAATTTAAATTTGGTTCTTTTTTATACTTCTATTTCTTTGCTGAGGTTTTCATTTTATTTTCTTTTAAGTGTATTAGTAATTGCTCTTTGAAGCACTTTAATTATGGCTGCTTTAAAATATTTCTCAGATAATTTTAACATCTCTGTCATCTTAGTGTTGGAATACATTGTCTTTTCTCATTTGGTTTGAGATAATCCTGGCTTTTGGTATGACAAGTTAAACCTAGACATTTTTTTGTATGTATTTTGAGACTCTGGATCTTATTTAAATCTTCTGTTTAGCTGTTTTTTTTTTGTTTTTTTGTTTGTTTGTTTGTTTTTTCGACACTGCTTTTGTAGGGAAAGCAGGGGAACTGCCTCATTACTACAGGTGAAGATAGAAGTCCAAATTCTCTACCTGGCCTCCATTGACAGCCAAAGCTTGAGGCTCCTTATTACTGCTGGGCAGGAATGGGAGTCCTATTTCCCTAGCTGGTCTCCCCTGCCACCATAGTAGGGATGGCCTCATTACTACTGGGCAATGGTTAAAGTCCTGACTCTGTACTAGGCCTCCTCTAACACCTCCCCAGCGACGTGGGGGAAGGATGCCTTGTTACTACCTGTTAGGAGTGAAAGCCCACATTTACCATGTGATCTTTAATCCCAATGCAAGTTGGAGAGCTTTTACCAGCCAGTGGGGGTGAAATCTCCAGCTCCCTACTTAGCATTTTCTGACACCATCCTGGCTAGGGTGTTAGGTCATCTTATTATAGCCTTGAGAGGGTAGAAGTCTCCCCTGCCCACCTGGTCTTTGCTGGCATGGGCAGGGGTGGAGCCACAATATTTTTCTCTGGTGTTTGGCTAGAGTAATTATTGTCTAGAACCTTTTTTGTCTAGCTTGGCTGTCCCTTTCCTGGTCCTTTGGGTAGGGAGAGTAGGCTTCTGCTGGGGCATTTTTGTCAGCACACTTTAATGTTTGCTGGTTGTTGGCTTCTTCAGCTCTTGGTCTGGGATATATAAGGCAGAAAAACAAACAAAAAATGAAGAGAAATCACCACTATGTCATTTTCTTTGGGTCTCAAGGTCCCTAGCCAGTCTGCATCCTTCTTTCCAACTTTTAATGTATTCTTATGTTTGTTTTACATTTAATGTTCAAGGTTTTTGCCATATTTAGTGAGATGAATGGGGAAAAGTACATGTATTCCATATTCTCAGAAATGGAAGACTACTGCTGCAATTAATTTTAACATGAAAGACACAACATTTAACTGAAGAAATTTGTATAATCAGTTGGAAGGATGAGATCTATGCAAATCATACCAAGATTTTGAATGGTAAAATTTTATGTCATGATATGACAATTTCTCCAAAACTAGTATACGAATTTAGTGCAATTGTAATAAGAATCTCAATGGGTTTTGGGGGAATTGACAAAATGATCACCAAATTTATATCAAAGAAGAAATACTTGAGTCTACCCAAGAAAAATGTGAAAAGAAAATGCCGGTGAGGAGAAATTTCTTTTTCCAGATATTAGAAAATAATAAAATATAAAATATAAATTGTATATAAAATATAAAAGCTAATGTTGCTCAAATAAATATAGGCTTGGTATAGGAATAAACAAATAGATCCATGTAACAAAATAGAGAGATCAGAAAAGGTTGCTAGTATTTAAGAGTATTTATTCATGAGAAAAGTCCATCTCAGAGGAAAGAAATAAATTATGTAATAAGTCCTCAACTGCCTAATAACCTAAGAAAAAAGTAAAATTTTGCTTCATTTTACTCCATACTGAAATTAAAAAGCATGTCTAGAGACCGTAAATTCTCAAATATAATGAAAAAGTAAAACAATAAAAAAAATTCAAGAAAATCTTTGTAACTACACATGTATATGTTAGGGAAAAAGGAATCATTCTTAACTAAGTCTAGAAACATAGAAGTTTTTAAAAGTAAACATATTTGGCTACATAAAACAATAAAACATCTGTGTGACCAAAAATCTCATAATGAAAGTCGACAGACAAATGATACATGTAGAAGAAATTTAGGTACAAGACAATTCAAATGACAAAAAGTTAATGCCAATAATGTATAATAAAATGTTGAAAATTGTTAAGAGAAAGATGAACGATATAGCAGAAAACTGGGTAAAGAACATAAACAGATAATTCACAGAAATAAAAAATCCAAATAGCCAACATATTTCAGAATGCTCAAAGTCAGTAATGTTCAAGAAATTGCAAATTGAAATAACAATACATATAGCTTGACTTCCATCAGACTGGTTAAAATTTTTTTAAAAGATAAAATCTATTCTGCTTGAGATATAGCACCAAAGATTACTCATACATTAATGGTGGGAATGTGGATATTACAGACTTTGGGGCAAACTATTAGCAACATCTACTTTAAATTTTTTTTTAAATGTTAACTACGTCCTCCAACCCAGCAATTCTGTACTTCAGAATATACCCCTTAGAAATAAAACCACCACCATGTAAAAAATATGAAGAGATATATGAACTATACCACTGTTTTTAGTGCCAAATAAACTGGAAACATGATGAATGCCCATCAACAAGAGCATAGGCAGGAGAATAATGGGTGGTTTATTATGCCATGGGAGATTATGCAGCCATTTGAAAGAGTGAATATCAGTTGACTTGCAGAGATTTTCATAAGGTATTTTTTTTATGGAAAAAAGCAAGGTATAAGAAATGATAGGCACTGTGTTTCCATCATATAAATCAATGACCAGTGTCCATATTATTTTGTGTGTCAATATCTATATAAGATTACATGGGCAAAGAGAAAAACCAAAAAGGTTATATTCCAAGTTATTTACATTTGAATAGGAATATATATTGAAAGAGAGAGAAAAAAGAGGGTGGAACCAAACAAAGAAGTATAAGAAAAAAAAGAGATTGCTCTTTTAAAAGGTGATGACAAGATCACAATTATATATTTATGTAAAATGGTGTGTGTGTGTGTGACTACCATGTATTCGAAAAACATTTAAAAGTTAAAAATATACCTTAAGTCACATACCAAATATAGATATACTATCTCTCAATAAGTCCAAAACAACTAACTTTTCCCCCTGTGTTGGAATAGATTCTGATTCTTTGTATGTATGTGGATAAGTTGAATTAGGTGATATACATTTAGGGACCATGTTGTATTAAAAATGTGTAACACTGAACCTGAGAATAGCTTCCAACAGCAAAAGAGTATAGTTGAAGTTGTATAAATCAGGTGCTCCTGTGCCACGAAGCTATGGGTCATGGCTCCAAACTGGGTAAACCAAGGCACCCCTGGGCACCACAGTGAACTCAGGGATAACATCAGATGTTTTCAAGAGAAACACAGAGGTATTTTGTATTTGATGAATACCCTGTTAAATACTATCTTTAAGTAATTTATGTTTTCAATGTTAAGTTACTCTACTATATTCTTTTCAATGTCATGATGTCTCTGTGAAACTAGAGTTTTGGCAGTTTGCTTAAATATGGAACAGGAAATGAGGGTGGTGGGGTCCGATATGATTTCAAGATATGATAAATTGTGTATGTCGAAAAGTTGAACACATTCCTATATTATACTATTATAAATACATAAATATGATTATTAAAGAGTAAAATTTAAATTATTTTTCCTTAAATTTATATGCATTACTTTTTCAAATGACTTGCTCAGTTGCTGGGACCTAACTACCTAATAAATGGAATAGGTAATTTTTTTTTTTTTTTGCTAGATACATTGTGAGAAAATAACTGAGCCACTAAGGGAGCTGTGAGTACATAATCTGCTATAGAATGGTATAAACTAAGCTATTGGCTGAATAAGAAAAGGCAGCCCAAACCTCCATAGGGGAGGAGACAGTGGTTGCAACTACTATGAAAACAGCCATACGGACCTGTGACAGATGACTATTGCTGAACTACAATAAACTCCTTCCTCCTCAGATGTTAAAAAAATTAAATTTGAAAACTGCTACCACTGACTTTACTTGTATTTACACCAAGAAACTAATTGATATTTTATCCACTGCCTCTATTATAACCTGCAGGGATGAAAGAATACAAAACAATTACAAATCAATTACTGTTACACTGGGTTTTCAGAAACCATAAATCTGACAGCTGCTTTGCTGGGAGTCACAGTGAGTTTGACAGGTTTCTTAATATTCAGAAGCCAGGCATCAGATCTAGTCAGAATTCACACATTCTAATGTTGATTACTTCCTTTGTGTGTTTTGTAATGGGATTTGTTGAATACAAAGGCCACTTGTCTACATTATTATTGTAAAATAAATCATATTAGGATTCACCTATCCCATCACATTAGACATTTTTATTCTGGAAACTCTCAGGGTTGCTAGTATTTTGAAGCATTTTCCAGATGCACTCTGCAACAATTTCAAACTGCAAACCTTTCCTGGCATATCCAAGAGAAATTTTTGACTGTGTTCTTCCATAAAGTTTCTATTTCCTTCTGAGAGAATGCCAATAAAATTATTTAATTTCTCCTGATCCATTTATTATCATCCACCAAGAATGTATCCAAGGGCAGTGCACATCATGCCAAGTGTTAAGCTAGGGTTTAGTCAGTGTCTATAAAGAAACAGCGAGTAAAAAATGACAAAAAGCTTTGGTGTTTAAAACACTTTTACATTTCTCTTGCCAAACTCAAGAAGTCTTAATAGTCTTGGTAATTAGGCCCCTAAATCTTGATGAGTGCTAAAGTGTTAGTGACCTCATAAAATTAACAGCTAGATACTTCACCTGTTCAGCTCCCCCTTATCAGATGCTGAGAAAAGACTAGGTCTTTCTCAAGAGCATTTGTTATTGTTAGCTCAGACTTCCAATTTTACCATATGAATTCTAAAGTTTCAGGGTCTACTATACCCATATAGGAGTCTGCCTGGATAGATATCTCACTATCTAGAGCCTGAATCTGAAAATACCATTATAGGGCAGAGCTTCTCTTACTTTGAAACCACCCCAGTCATTCCAAAGTGCCTTCACCTAGAAAGGTACATTGCATTATCATTCATCCATGCTCTACCTTGGGATGGGAAAAATGAATGGCAGAAGATAGATGGTCTGCCACAGTGGCCAGCTTTGGCCAGGAGATGGCAAGAGAGGATCACCCCAGTGGAGACAGCCAACACCTAAGGGGCTCCAGTTGGCACTGGGCCATTAGTGACAGTTCTCAGGAATTTAGCAATTCAAAAGCAAAGGCTTGAGTTGGAGGCCCGGGGTTGGTAGTTGAAGTATGCTGATATGCTTTGGCTGCACCTCGCCCAAATCTCAACTTGGATTGTATCTCCCAGAATTCCCACGTGTGATGGAAGGGACCCAGGGGAAGATAATTGAATCATGAGGGCTGGTATTTCCCATGCTGTTCTCGTGATAGTGAATAAGTCTCAAGAGATCTGATGGGTTTATCAGGGATTTCTGCTTTTGCTTCTTCCTCATTTTCTCTTGCCACTGCCATGGAAGAAGTGCCTTTTGCCTCCTGCCATGATCCTGAGGCCTCCCCAGCCATGTGGAACTGTAAGTCCAATTAAACCTCTTTTTCTTCCCAGTCTCAGATATATCTTTATCAGCAGCATGACAATGGACTAATACAGTAAATTGGTACCAGTAAAGTAAGGGGGTTGCTGAAAAGATACCTGAAAATGTGGAAGCAACTTTGGAACTGGGTAACAGGCAGAGACTGGAACAGTTTGAAGGGCTGAGAAGAAGACAGGAAAATGTGGGAAAGTTTGGAACTTCCTAGAGACTTGTTGAATGGCTTTGCCCAAAATGCTGATAGCGATATAGACAATAAAATCCAGGCTGAGGTGGTCTCAGATGGAGATGAGGAACTTGTTGGGAACTGGAACAAACGTGACTTTTGTTATGTTTTAGCAAAGAGACTGGTGGCATTTTGCCCCTGCCATAGAGATTTGTGGAACTTTGAACTTGAGAGAGATGATTTAGGTATCTGTAAGAAGAAATTTCTAAGCAGCAAAGCACTCAAGATGTGACGTGGGTGCTGTTAAAGGCATTCAGTTTTATAAGGGAAGCACAGCATAAAAGTTCAGAAAATTTGCAGCTTGACAGTGCAATAGAAAAGAAAATCCCATTTTCTGAGAAGAAATTCAAGCCGGCTGCAGAAATTTGCATAAGTAGCAAGGAACCTAATGTTAATCCCCAACACCCTGGGGAAAATGTCTCCAGGCCATGTTAGAGACCCTCAGGGCAGCCCCTCCCATCTCAGGCCCAGAGGCCCAGGAGGAAAAAGTGGTTTCATGGGCTGAGCCCAGGGTCCCTGTGCTGTGTGCAGCCTAGGGAATTGGTGCCCTGTGTCCCAACCACTCTAGCCATGGCTGAAAGGGGACAACATACAGCTTGGGCTGTGGCTTCAGAGGGTGGAAGCCCCAAGCCTTGGCAGCTTCCACGTGGTGTTGAGCCTACAGTTGCACAGAAGTCAAGAACTGAGGTTTGGGAACCTCTGCCTAGATTTCAGAAGATGTATGGAAATGCCTGGATTCCCAGGCAAAAGTTTGCTGCAGGGGCAGGGCCCTCATGGAGAACCTCTGCTAGGGCAGTATGGAAGGGAAACTTGGGGACACACAGAGTCCCTACTGGGGCACCACCTAGTGCAGCATTGAGAAGAGGACCACTGTCCTCCGGACCCCAGAATGGTAGATCTACCAACAGCTTGCACCATCTGTCTGGAAAAGCTGCAGACACTCAATGCCAGCCCATGAAAGCAGCCAGGAGGGAAGCTATACCCTGCAAAGCCACAGGGGAAGAGCTGTCCAAGACCATGGGAACCCACCTCTTGCATCAACATGACCTGGATGTGAGACCTGGAGTCAAAGGACATCATTGTGGAGCTTTAAAAATTGACTGCCCTACTGGTTTTTAGACTTGCATGGACCCTGTAACGTCTTGTTTTGGCCAATTTCTCCCATTTGGAATGGCTGGATTTACTCAATACCTGTACCTCCATTGTATCTAGGAAGTAACTAGCTTGCTTTTGATTTTACAGGCTCATAGGCGGAAGGGACTTGCTTTGTCTCAGATGAGACTTTGGACTGTGGATTTTTGGGTTAATGCTGAAATGAGTTAAGATTTTGGGAGACTGTTGGGAAGGCATGATTAATTTTGAAAAGTGAGGACATGAGATTTGGAGGGGCTGGGGCAGATTGATGTGGTTTGGCTATGTCCTCACCCAAATCTAAACTTGAATTGAATCTCCCAGAATTCCCACGTATTGTGGGAGGGACCCAGGGGGAGGCAATTGAATCACGGGGGCTGGTCTTTCCCATGCTATTCTCGTGATAGTGAATAAGTATCAAGAGATCTGATTGGCTCATCTGGGGTTTCCGCTTTTGCTTATTCCTCATTTTCTCTTGCTGCTGCCATGTAAGAAGTGCCTTTTGCCTCCCACCATGATTCTGAGGCCTCCCCAGGCATATGAAACTGTAAGTCCAATTGAACCTCTTTTTCTTCCCCGTGTCAGGTATGTATTTATCAGCAGAGTGAAAACATACTAATACACGTGCCTAACTCAAAGAGAGAGTCAAACAGGTTAGGATACCAATGGGAATCTTGCCCAGCCCTAGTAGGATGATGGGGATGCCAGAAAGTAGAAGAATCCAAGCAAGAAGGATGGAACAAATCAGGAATCATGCCTTACACAGGTCATTGGGCAACAAGGAATGAACGAGATGGATGCTGAAAAGCCACTGAGGTTGGCAGGATCTAGGGGTAACCAGTTGGTTTTGGAACTCTAGGATGAAGCCACCATTCATGTATCAGGGTAGGTTTGATATCCTACAACTCTCTGCCAGTGTGAACCCTCATCAGAATCCTCATCAGCCTACTTTAGGAAGCTTGTCACTACAAGCCAAGAAATTTGAGTTCTTGCCATCTTCTATTCTTTTATTTACTGTGACCAAGCCAAGATTAGCAAGTTCTTCTCTCTCCCCAAAGCTCAACTCTAGTTTATAAAGTGGAGTTCCTAATACTCATCTAATGGTAGCATCAACTGTCCTTCCCCTGCCACTCAAGCAAACAAATGGACATGGAGCCCTTAGGCCAAGCAAGAAAGAAGTTGGATCAGATCCCAACGAAGTCATCTTACAAGAAAAAAAAGTGTAGTGGGGGGTGAAAATTATGGAACTGCAATCAAGTACTGATGTTGTACTTACCAGGCTTTGTCAACCACTTTATGATTGTTAAGATAATTAATAGAAAATTGCATAATGGCTTAAAGAAAGTTTATAGGTTCTTTAAAACCTATCTGCAGAGAAGTTCTTTAAAGCAGTAATTAGCATAATGAGAAATGAGAAAATTTCAGCACTATTCCTCCCACAAATGTGAATAAATCTATTAGGCACCTCACTAGCTATTCTAAAGACAGAACTCTAATGTACCTTAAGTGCTGTGGAGGGCAGAAGGTCATCAATATTACAAAGTTATCTGGCATCCGTTTTATAGGATCAGCTCCAGGTAGCTTTGCCACTTCTGAAATAGTACTTCCTCCACTATAAAGAAAATTCTTTGCCATTGTGACCTACTGTGATACTCACTTATGTAAAAATCTTAGTAACAACTTTGTTTGTCAGAGTACAAATAGTGTGGATTTTTTAAAAAAGAATCAATTCCATCATTACTGGAATGCCATCATAGCTGTAATTTAAGAACAAATTTATTGAAGTGAAATGCAGTGCTGTAAGGACTGCCTAAGTTATATCTGTAGGAGTTTGTCTGAATTATGAGAGGAAAGAAGACTGGCATTTCTTGAGACTTTATATGATTATGTAACTTAATCCTCACAGCATCTCTGTGAAGTGGGCATCCTTGCTACTATTTGATAGATGAAGAAAAAGAGGCTCAGGGAGGATTTTTAACTGGCCTCAGTAGGCATAACTATTGAATTGCAGATTTGGTATTTGAATCTGACCTCTTCCTTAAAGTAATTTTTTGGAGGAAAAAAAAACTATTTCCAGTTTCCTGGTTACTAATCAAACTCAGGTTCCCATGTAACGTGTGTCTATGCTTTACTTTAGGAGGTCATCTCAGCTCCAAATGTAGCAGAAAGCCTAGACTTTTCCCCATTTTTTTCTCCCAAAGAGAGAGTCACCCTTATGGTACAGGGTACACACCCATTTGCATTTTCATTAGATGAGATAAATCATTTTGCTATTGAGGATGATTTGCCCAGCAAAGCTTTGGAAGCTCTCATTTGCACTCCATGAGTAACCAGATACTTCATTCCCCAAAACACTTAAATACGTGACACTTTTTCTTTTTAAAAGGGCAATTTGGAAACAAACTAATGTCAGCCCTTCTTCACAAAATGAGATGACCAGTTCTATCCTTTCTCATATCTTGGGTGGTAATTGGGTCAAAGGGATGGCAAATGAGATGGGGGATATGAGCTCGGTCAAAGCAAGAGAAGAAGATTCAAGGAGATGATTTAATTTTCTTAGCGGCTGGATAAAGAATTCCCTGAGGGAAGAGACACACTTTCCTTGTTGAGAAGATGCCTAGATAAATTCATCTTAGAGTAGAATCTTAGCCTTCAGGGCCTGAATGAGGATAGAATTGTTTAGCTTGAGACTTGGGGTAAGATTTGCTTTTTCCCCTCAAGAGGGAGGAGACAGTAAGGTAGAGGAAGACAGTGGAAGAGGGTAAGAGGGTAAGTGATGAAATAAGAAAAGGCTTCTTCCACCTCACTTCGTACTTTTTTTTTTTTTTTTTTTTTTAGAGAAAGGGTCTGGCTCTGTCCCCTGAGCTTGAGTATAGTGGCATAATCATAGCTCACTGTAGCCTAGAATTCCTGAGCTCAGGTCATCTTCCCACCTAAGCCTGCTTAGTAGCTGAGACTACAGCCATGAGCTATGAGCTACCATGCCTAACACTATCCTCATTCTTAATCAGATTACCAAAGTCACAAAACACTTGAGAAAAATGGAATTTTTAAAATGAAAATTTATGAAAAGGCTGGGCATGTTGTCTGGAATGACAAATGGGTAGTACGGGACAAAAAGGAAGTTGCAGAGGTAGAAACCCACAAAAAGTATGGTTCTGGGAGCTTTTATCAATTGGCAGAGGTTGGGGATGGCTCTCGACTCCTCCAGATCATTACATGGTTTAGGTCAAGCTTAACCAGATGCCCAAGGCAACTAACACCTGCACTTAGTAACTTTACAATTCTGTGCTATTGCTGTTTCTCAGTTCATTTGCTTCTCTTGGGACCCTAGAACTTTTACCATTCAACAGTGATGTCTTGGGTTAACTCTCAATAACAGTGTGAAGAAAAAAGAAAAAACAGATGTGGAAATAGAAGCAGGTAGGATATCAGGGCATTTCTCAAAAATCATAATTATCTGGCTGAGAAGAGATAAAACCCTGCATTAGCATTGCTTTAATGCTCAAATGAACAATCAGGAGGCCTTTTTGAGAGGAGGTAAATGGCTGTATTACTATTTATAGTCAATCAATTAGGGAGCAAATGATAACACTCAAATGAGGTTTCCCTGCTTGGGAAATATAAATAGTGACCCACCATGATGCTTATTTTATTAAGGATCTTTCTAACAACTTTGATGCTTACTTCAAAAGGAAACACATTTTTAAGATACATGACTCCTGCCCCTTCCATCAAATCCTCATTCTCTCTGTGGTTAAGTTCACTTATCCTAAGTAAGGAAGCCTTAGTTGGCTAGAAGTTGACAACTTCTCTCTCTCTGTATGTCAGAATATTAAGGGGCACCCAGGAAGACAGTGTCTAAATCTATTATATGACATGTCTGAAATCTACTTAAGATCACCTCGTGGTCACTCAAATTAATAGCTACTATTTGCCAAGTTGTATATTAAATGTTTGATATACCAGACTTCATCCAATCCTCACAAAAGCCCTAGAATGCAGGTAGTTTTATTCCCATTTTGTGGATGAAGAAACTGAGGGTCATAGTGATTAACTTACCAAGTGTTATTCATTTGCTTGTTCATCCATTGATTCTCTCAATATCTATTTATGGAGTGCCTACTGTATACCGCATATCATTCTCATTGCTGAAGATAGAACAGTGAATGTGAGAGAAAAAAAACGTAGATTCATGGAATTTATATCTGACTGAGCTGAAAAAGGGTAACCAGAATAGGAGAGAGCTGACATCTGAGCAATATTAAGTAAGAATTCTATAACTGCCCCTTGAAATAGAAAGGTTTGCTATGTAAAATTTCACTGCTTTCTGCAGGAAGCCTGGATAGCAACATAAAAGAATATCATTACTTTTACAGATATCATCATTATTTTATAGATAGCATCATTATTTTACGGATATCATGATATTTTTATGAATATCATGAGTGTCAGCAAAGGTTTATTATGGTTTTTTTTCCAATATTGCAATTAAAGCTTATACATGCTACGACAGAAAAAAAAAAGCCACATACACAAAAGTAACTAGACCAACCCCACTGAGATTCCCATGGGGAAGGAGATAAGGCAGGAAAGAATACATATACCACAAAATAATTTCTTTTAGGAAAACAAAAAAACAATCTTTTCTATACAGGATATGACCATCTAGGATACCTTCCAGATATAGTAATTTATATTTCCCCCAAGAAGTTCTGAGTTGATGCAGGTGTCTTTAATTATGATAAAGCAGCAAGCATTTTATCCTCTTGCACAATGAGCTTTTCCTTTTCAAATCGGACAAGTAATAAAGTCTTATGATGAATGTGATTTAGCAACTGACTTAATAACTGAGATAACATGAATCACAGCTGCCACATTCAAGTAGTCTTCGTTTGATGCAGCTGATCTGCAGTGTACCCTTCATGAGTGTGCATTATGATAAACCTGTCTACTGCTATTGTGTACTTATAATAACTTAGGTTATTCTTCCTCCAAATCTTCCATGTGTTTCTGGAGACGTCGCAGTGTAATTTAGCTCAAGTTAATGATAGTCCTCAATGCAATATTACCAGTTATCATTTTTCACTTTAACATAGCACATAAGTGGCTAATGTTCCCTGGCATAGATGAAGTCCTAGGCTAGCTAATGAGGAGATTATGATGGACAGAACAAAGAGGTCACAGGAAATTGTGCTTCTGGCTCTCTAATCAGATCAGGTTTACCTCCCAGATTTCACCTGTCTCAGGAAGGCAAAGGACTGAAAGGAAATTGGTTGCTAACATCAAGGAATAAATAGTATTCTCCTACACTGTGTAGGGGATATATTTTTTGGAGGAAAATTCAACAATATATAACAAAAGCCTTAACACTGTGTATGTTCTTTGATCAAGCAACTTAATACTTAGAAATTTATTTTAAGAAATGTCTAAAGCAGAATTTTCTGTAATATAAGGAAAATAAAACAGAAATATCCAATAATATGACTTTGATTAAATAATTATGGTGCATCCAATATTGTTTTTAGCAAACACTTACAGGGTGCATCCTATGTGCCAGGGTCTCTAAGCATTTAAAATTTTAATTTAATCCTCATAACAACCCTATGAGGCAATACTTTTATGATTCCTATTTCACTGGTGAGTGAACTGAGCCACAAGGATTTAATAACTTGCCCAAAGTCCCATGGCTGCTAAATGTCTGACCAGGCATTTGAACCCAGCAATTGGACTCCAAACTCAGTGTTCTCAAACTCTATTTATGTTATCTCACAACAATGGAATATTTTTGTGGAAAAATGCTCAAAATATGCAGGTGGGTGAGTGAGCAAAAAAAAGCAGGTTATAAAATAGGATGAACAGTGTGACCCTGTTTTATAGGAAAAAAAAAAGAGAATATAGCCATAAAAAGAAACCTTAAAGGTCTATCAAGATATTTCAAACTAATAACAGTAGTTATTTTGGGGTGACATCTTTACCTGCTTCTGAAATTTTCTTTTTGCTTATCTCTTAGTTCTAATTATTGTTATGAAGAAATTATATTCAAATGTTAAGCCCCTTAGAAATGAAACAATTGGAAGTCTGAATATGAAAAATAATATTATAACTAAATTGTAACATATATAACATAAAATCTATTGCTAGCTATACTGTGGTGAAAATTGTACATTCCCACATTCCTGCTAGCAGTATACATTGTTACACTCCTCTATAGAAAGTAATGTGGCAGTGTAAATTAAGAACTATGAAAATGTTCACTTCCTGTTACCCCATGGTCCTGCTTCTGGAAATTACCCTATGATCACAACTCAAAAGAAGAAGACTGCTTTGTCCATTTAGCAAGAAATATATGACTGAAATATTTAATTTGTGTATTTACTGGTAGAACCCTAAGAGTCTGGACAGGCTACCAGGGTTTCTATTTCTACATCTTCCCAACAGGCTTATGAGGAAAAACAGTGACTAGACACATTGAAGAGCTCTGAGATTGTTTAACAAAGACCTCCTGTCAATGACCTGGGTGTCACTCCATCCAGAAAAGGCCCTCAGAAAAGTGTAGAATAGATCTAAATCCAGGATACCAGTGGATTTTAGGAGGCAGCAACTCCTAAAGGAGGTGTATGATGCCTTGTGTTGTCACTGGTATTATCTTCCCTTCAAGGAGACTTGGTTCAAGCTTCTAGCATGAGGGCCTGTGAATAGTGGAAAGAGTAAACCACATAAAAGAATCGTGACATTAGGATTGTTATGAGAAGCAAAGGGATCAAGGCTTCCTTCCTGTTTGGGAACTCATAAGCATTAGTGGAAAAACTCTCTTCTTCCTGGGAACTGAAAATATCATGCTTCCCTCTCTGTGATAAGCAATGCTGGAACCAAGCATTTCTTTCTGTGCTAAACTTACTGGGAACAACCAGAAGTAATTTAGTTAATTAATCTAAGAAATACTATATTTGTATTTGGAAGATGAGACCATGAGACAACCTAACAGCTTATTTATGAAGACTAATGGCGTTGCTTATCAAGAATTGCTTTAGGCCACTCACCTTACTGTGCCCACCAGTCAAAAGCTGTTACATCATAAATTCTTCCCAGTCCCAACCAGTTCTCTGTCTTGTAAAACCTGCCTTAAATTACCTAGCCCAGACCCTAAAACCCTTTAAAGATTCTCCCTTCACTTCCCCCATCTTAGACACTATGAGGACTCTGTCAAGGTCCTTTACTATAGTCTAATCATCTTTGCTTGATCAATAGGTTTTCTGGTGGTCTTTGAGAGAGGCAGTAGTTAACTTCTCTCAGATTAAGGAACAAAAAATGAATTTGAAAGACAGAAATCTATGTGTTGATGGAAGTGACATCGCTGAAGCTGAGGCAAATCTAGAACCCTGTGAAGGATCGCTACATCACCAAGAAGGCTGCAAGGAAAAACTTATGATGAAGGAGGGCTGAAGACATATGAGGAAGGGGAAGCTTCAACTTACTGACTATTGGGACCAAATGGTGCAAGAAAGACAATGGACATCCTAAGTGGATCTGGCACTAGCAGCTTTATACTGTCAAGTATCAGGGTGACCAGGCAGAATATAAGAATTCTACTGGGCTATGACAGGGAAGGTGGGCCTTGAAATTGATAGGTTGGGGAATCAGAAGGTCCATTTGTTGGTGCTCAGAGCTAGAGTCCTGGGAATGTTTCTGACTGCACTGTGGTTCAAGGGATAACCTCCGGCACCAGATTGCCTGCATTTCAGACTCTGGCCTGCCACTCATTAGCTGTGTGGCTTTGGCCAAGCTACTTGAGTTTTGTCCAATACTCTAAGCCTCAGTTTTCTCATCTGTAAAATGAAATTACAAATAATAATACCTAGTTTGTAGGGTTGTTTTGAAGATTAAGCAAAGTGTTTTACAAGTACTCAAGAAGTGTTAGCTTTTGTTTATTACTTCTTTATAATTATCCCCGTGGTGGAATTCTTCCAGGTACCAGAAGGGAAAAACACTGAGAGGCTTAGTCAAAGATGTCATTATGGTATTATTTATAACAGAAATAGATAGTGTGGTGCTGGTAAGTTTGTAGCATTTGCCAATTTTCAAGGTGTAAATACCTGTATCATAGCCAATTTCCGGCTACCAATTTGAAGTCACTGAACTCAGAATAGGGAAGAGATGGGCACAATTGGCTCCCAAAAGCTGGTACCAGCCAGCTCAAGCACAGCACTAGGAAGAGGATTAAATATTTGCCAAAGTAGAATGTCCAATATGATGTCTCTTGATAACACAATTTGATGTTATAAAAATTAGAATTCTAAAAACTGGATACAGCCGTACAAAATGCTCGTTATATTAGAAAAAAAACAGATAAAAATCATATATGTAATGAAATCGCAAGTCACATGCTCCCTCAGTTCTAAGATGCACAGTTTTCACAGTTTTGTTCATCTGTTCATAATACATTTTACAATCATATTTAGTGTTTCATTTTTTCATCCTGAACATCTGCTAATAAATCAGTGATGCTCATCACAAGCAATGCTGCTGTAAACTCAAAGATAAATGGCAAATAACATGTTGCTAACATTGGGATGGAGACAGGAAAGGAATAGAAAAAACGAAAACAGTTAGATTTGTTGTTGAAGCAGGGTTTTAAGTAATTTTTTTCTCCTTATGTGGATGCCTGTTAATGTTGTATCCACAATAAATCATAACAGAAACGTTGAAATCTAAACGTAGGCATTAATATATGTGTGCAAGGAAGGGAAAAAGTCTCTTTCTCTCTCTCTCTTTGACTTTGATTTTTTTGCCTGTAACTTACCTATGACACTCTAATTAAGGGATAGTAAAGGCACACAGTGTGGAAGGTGCTAAGTGTGAGCGTGTGTGTGTGTGTGTGTGTGTACTGTATTTAGATATTTAGGAAAAGATCTTTCATCACTTGGTTTGCCCTCTATCTAGGAGGGACAAACCATATTGAGACATCTATTTAGAGGTGGCCCTTTACAGAAAACTGAAGAAAACCAGTTCAGATTGATTACAAAACATGCAGGACTCAATAAAGAAGGGCAGGACCTGCCTGAACACTGTGAGTGGCATCTTTTCATATTAATAGCCCAGTTGGCTCCCTTCGGCCTGACTAGGGCACAGTTGAGAGGCTGGGGAAATAATGACCCCTTTTCCCTTTGGGCAAGGAGAGGACACTGTTCATGCTTCATCATACCTGAAAGGAAAAAAAGCCCCAGCCACAATTTTTTCCTCTGCTGCTTCAGTGAATATTTCTTCAAAACAATAGCTTCAGACCCAATCTGCTTACCATAAGGATAACTTTGAGCCAGAAAGATTTCTTTTCAGTTCCCCAAATCCCTGCTACCCCAAACATTCACACTCAGATTATATATTTATTTATTTATTTATTTATTTATTTTTTAGGAAAAACACATTTTGAGTGTTTGCATCCATAAAGCCAAGTACCCTTACCACACAGAGCCTACACCCTGGTATTCTATTTGGAAACCAAGTATCCAATTTCTGGACTGTCTGGGTCTTAGGCTTTTCTGATGTTTTGCCACTTCATTTTTCCACTCAAGTCTAGTTAAGAGTAACATAGAGATTATAAAAAGTAGCTCAATGCAGCCACTGACTAGTATATCTGGAATCCAAATACCTAGTGGAAGAGGAGGCTGAGATTTAGGATTGTAATCAGGCTTAGACAGTTTTTCACATATCAGAAGTGTCAATGCTCTCTTGTTCCCACCATTTCTGCAGAAAACCAAGAGCTGGTTTTCGGGAACATTTGCACCCACTCATTCTAGAGCTGGTCGTGACTTCTGACAGCTTGTATAGGTCACTAAGGCAGCCCAGAAAGCTGTCAGAGCCCAGGAATTTCAATTTCTTTTGTTGCATGGAGAAGTGGAAATGAAAACAGACCACTCGACAAGCTAAACTGCATACAGCAGAGACTTGAAAAAATATTCTATCGGCAATGTAATATCCTGAGCCCAGAATGAATCTATCCATTGGGACAGAAATTGAATCAGAATCCTCCTTTGTGTAAATGCCCTTCATGTTGATCTTTTCTTTCCATCCAGTGCTGTTTTGGTATCAGATAGAATCTTTCAATTTTAAGAAAGTGTAGTACTTAAAGGACTTTGAACTGGCTGAGATTTTGGCTAACACTATGCAAAAACTGCTTTAATCAGAAGAGTCCTGGGGGATGTCTGCTAAACAGCTTCATCTCAAGCAGGATGGGAATGGCTCCCTCTGATCAGCTGTTGAAAGATTTTGAAAAAATTGAATTTATTTCCTTCTGCTGTCATGGATGATTTTGCCTTGTTTTTTTATCCTCTGCACCACAAACTCAATGCCACACTTCCCTGCCATGCAACCAGATTGGACATGAATACTGAATGAGTCCCCTGGAAAGAAACTCAAGCCCCAAACTAGGCCATGATTCCAGAGAAAGGCTACCTCCAACTCTCTTAAAGTGATTTGCTTACTGAAGGAAAATTCTAAGTTCTTTGCATCTTATATATGCTAGAAAAAGATGTTTTAAATATTTAATAGGCCTGAGAACTAGGCAGAGCCAATTGTAATTATATTATAATCCACATCTGGCACGAGGATGTGAAGTTACAACAAATGTCTGCAAGCCTTGACCTCATTCCAGCTTGGGTTCATCCATTCGTGCTGTCAGAAAAACCTATATTTTATTGCCCATGCAGTTTTCCCTTGCTTATGGATTCCCTAGTGTTAGGTGAGATAACTTATTTATTTCACTGTTCCTCTCCTTGAATACACTTCATTCATCAGAGGGCAAGCTCAGGGATGGGGTTGGGAAGCTCTAAAATCAATTTGCTATACAAGTGAAATTAAGAAATACTACTGGTGGTTGTTTCTCTCAAGGTTCTGGGAAGATGTGAAGAAAACTCAAGTGCCCGGTTCCCTTCCTCTGAAAAACTATGAGACATGGCCATCTGTAAATGAAGGTGTATGTTTGAGTGAAGATTTAACTGTATTAAACCTAACAGCTACTTTTGCAGACAAGATGGCTACCAGCTGATTGGTCTGTGCTGAAAAGGAAAGATTCAAGCATTTTCTTATAAGTTAGAAAGGAGCTTAGATGTGAGTTATGTCCAGAAAAAAATGATTACCTGACACTTCAAGCCGCAGTGATGATAACCTGTATAGGAGGCGAGGATAAAATGCTACCTTCAACAAGTGGTGATGGAACAACTAAAAGGACAAGCAATACTGTGTGTATGTTCAGAAAACCTCTTTCTTCATTCCTATTTGCTTACTTTCTCCTGCCTATCCTTCCTGGAAGAACAGTTTTGCTGGTCTTAAAATTTACATTGCAACTGTTAGTGGAAGGAAAGAGCTTCTTCCCTCCTTTATTTTGGGTTGAACTATGAGTGATTTTTTGTCTATCCCACCTTTGAAATAGCCCGCTATAAGTCAAATAATAGGAGCTGTATTATGAGAAGAACATAACTTATTTTCTCTTATCTACATTTTTTTGGCTAATGGGATAAAATTAAAGCTTCAATTTATTCTCAGAATTAAACTACTCTTGTTCTGGGCCCCAAAACACTCAAGATGAGTTTGCACAGTTCTTGATGCATTCACTTCAGTAAAAAAGCAAGAACCTCAACCTTGAAACGACCTCAAGTTCTGTCATTTCCATATATAGGAGTTTTTGTGTGTCTGTGTGTCTTTTGTTTGTTTTCACAGCACAAAATGTATTCTGCACACTCACTCACCCAACATGTCTTCACAAGCAATTGTTGACTTTCTATTTTTGCGTTAGTGTATTGCAAATGTGAAAGGATTTTGAAGGGAGCTTTTCCTGTTGTCCTGGAATTTACTCCACATTTTAAAGAAAAGAATAAATCAGGAGACAGACACCCCTTCTGAGAAGACAACCAACAATAACCATCACTGCCTTCAATAAAAGCTTAAGGTTAGAGAGGAGGGAAGGAAGGCCAAGAAATACTGAAGTTGTACTTCCTGTCTAATTGCGGGTATAGTGACTTCCCTTTCTCCCCGCAAAGCGGGGTAGAACTTCATCACTCCACAAATTCAGTGAGGCAGACGAGCTGCAGGGGAGCTCTCATCAGAGATAGGTGGAGCTAGCAACCAGGGGAGACAAGGTGGAGCCAGCAACAAGAGGGCCAAGACCTAGAGGAAGCTCCAGGAGGCCAGGGTGTTATGGGGGCACTCTTCTAGAGGCCAGAGTGAAGGTCTGGGATAGCTTAAGGAGGGCTGGGATCCTTCACTCAGTGCTTATAACCACCTGCTTGTCTGTAAGCCTGCAAAGGCAATTTCTAAAGTTGATATTCTGAGATTTCTGCCACCTAAGGTCCAGTTTATACTGTGGTTTTGCCACCAAAAATTCTCATCTTTGGAAACCTCCCTGACTTACCTATCTCACTGGGTTAAATGTCATGACTTGGATCCCTGAATCTAAACTTCTAAAGACTTCACATCACTCAAAAGCTATGTGCTAGAGTTGTGTGCCTGAAAAATATGGAGACATTACATATCTTTTCAAAAGTTGGATATTTCATTTTATTGATCAAGCCAGAAGACATGAAAATTTGTTTATAAAAGTCATGGCTAAAAGCAGTGTCTGATGACCATGATAGTCCTTATCTTGATTATAGTTTCATATTTATATATGCCTATTTGTTAAAGTTTCTCTCTCACCAAGTTTAAGCTCCATGAAAGTAAGAAGCACGTCTGACTTCTTTAATGCTATATCCTCAGTATCTGGTGAAGAGACTGAAACATAATAGATGCTCGATCAATAGATGTTGAAGAAACAATAAAAAATCTTTAAAATTTTATTTTGTTTCTATTTGTTTTAGATGGAGTCTCGCTTTGTCACCCATACAGCATTTTGTTTTGTTCTGTTTTGTTTTGTCACTGTTATAGTTGGTATGTTTGACCCTCCAAACCTCATGTTGAAACTCGATCCGAATGTTGAGGGTGGGACCTAATGTGAGGTGTTTTGGTCATGGGGTCAGATCCCTCATGGATAGATTAATGCCCATTTTGGGTGAAGGGTGAGGGGTGAGTAATAGAGTTGCTACTCTGTAACTTCCCATAAGAGCTGATTGTTAAAAGGCCTGGCACCTCCCCTCTCCCCTCTTGCTTCTTCTCTCGCCATATGATTTGCACACACCCAGTCCCCTTTGTCTTCCACCATAAATGGAAGCAGCCTGAGACCTCACCAGAAGCAGATACTGGTGCCATTCTTCTTGTGCAACCTGTAGAACCATGAACCAAATAAACCTGTTTTCTTTGTAAGTTACCCAGCCTCAGGTATTCCTTTATAGCAACACACAAACAGATTAAGACAGCCAGTGACAAGGAAATTTGGATGCAGAATCCACATTGATTTTTCAAAATCCCCATTCTGATTAGGTTGATACTATCTGAAAATGGCTTCATGTGCTCCTGGTTCCATGTCAGACTCCTGCTACACAGTTAGAGGTTGGAGCTGGGTTTTTAATTTTTTTTGTTTGTTTGTTTGAGCACACACACATTTCCAGATACAGTCATTTTTGCCCATACATTTACACTGAGTTCAATTAATTTTAAGAGAGTTATGGCTCTTTTCTGAGCCATCACAGCACTCAGTATCCATTCGCAAATGAACAGGCAATGAACGGAGTGAGGCTACAGTGAAGTTCGTGGAGGGAGATGTCCCAGGAGGTTTAACAGTTTTATCATTCCTCAAAGCAGGAGTTGGGCTGTTATAGGTGGCAGCATCACAAGGCTTGGCTGCACCATCTTCAGTGCCACTGAGAGGAAGGAATGACAAAGAAGAGAAGGCTACTTAGCCCATACCTACACCATGCCAAGAAAGTGCCTAGCATATAGCAGATGTTGAAAAAAATCCATGTTAAATGAATAAACAGATTCAATAAATTTTATTATAACCATTAATTGGTATTAGTAAGGAACTACAGAGTGAGATCTCAAGAGTGTTGCCACAGTAAATGTGATGATAGAAAACCTCTGTCAGACAGTGTGTACAGAATGTGTGAGCTATGAGGCAGCATCTCCACATTAGTCACATGCAAGGGAGTTTCACTTAGGGATTCTTGATAGTATCAGAATCCCTATATGCATCTCCTCGAGCTGACTTATCAGAGAGCCAGAAGTGTAAGAAGCCATAATTTCCTCTGAAGCATAAATTACTGATGTGAAGTCACCTGTGTTTCTACTCAGATTTGTGAAATACAGATGGCCTGGTAACGCTCCGTCAATTGGAAAAAATGAGTGCAGTGGGGTGAGATGTTTATCTACCCCAGATCTCACAGCATGTCATTTAATATTAGCACATTTCTTCCATTTGTGTTTCTGTTGGTGTTTTGCCCCTTCTGAGAGCTTATGATTTATAGACTACATCATGAATGTGCCTGGGGAAAGCCTGGACATAGAGCTGCCCAGTGAGCCCTGTTTACTGAAGTGCCCCTGGGCTGATGTGCTTGCTGCCTGTATACAGCATTAACAGACACCCATGGGAGACAGTGTTTCTTTAAGAACTAGGAAGTGATCACGAATCCAAAAATCTATTTAAACCTTTTTAGAATGTATTGACTCTTTTGGACTGAACTAACACTTGGGTAGATGACAAAGGGATAGAATTAGTTAAGCACTTTACTGGGTATCTAGTACATATTAGGCAATACAGAATGTCATAAAATCCAGCATAGGCAAAACACCGTTGACTCTCAATTTGGAATCTCGTAGCCTGCCAAATGAGGTAGTATAATAAAGAAAAACTAGCCACGGTTTGTTAGGCCAGCATTTTCATATTTGTAGAGAGGAATATAAGGGATTTAAGGAAAGATTTAGCTGCCATCAGCAAGGACATACCTGTTTTATTTTAATAAATGTACAAATTAATGTTTGTTTTTAAAATGATAAAACAATATGTGATTATTAATGAAGTTTTATTTATTATTTATTTATTTGAGATAGAGTTTTGCTCTGTCACCCAGGCTGGAATGCAGTGGTGTGATCTCAGCTCACTTCACACTCTGCCTCCTGGGTTCAAGCGATTCTCCTGCCTCAGCCTCCCAAGTAGTTGGGACCACAGGTGTGTGCCACCATGCCCGGCTAATTTTTGTATTTTTAGTACAGACAGGCTTTTGCCATGTTGGTCAGGCTGGTCTCGAACTCCTGATCTCAAGAGATCCGCCTGCCTTGGTCTCCCAGAGTGCTGGGATTACAAGCGTGAGCCACTGCTCCTGGCCAAGGAAGATTTAAATAAGACTTAAATGAAAAAAAAAATCACCTGTGATCTAATTATGCACATATAGCCACTATAGAATTTTGATATCTTTTGTATCATCTATTTTTTAAAAATCCCCTATCCAAAGCATCTTGTTTGGGTCTTGATTTTTAATAACTGTGAAATCTCGCATCCTGTTTTTCTACATCATGTGCTACTGTAAACATTTTAACCTGTTAAGAAAACTCTTTACAAATATTTTAAATGGTTACTTAATACTGTATTAAGTTTCTTAACCAAACTTACTTAACCATTTCCTATTGCTGGACATTTTCAGTGCCATCCAAATGTCTGCTCTTTTAAGATAGCAGGGTGATACATATCTTTGTGCCTAATGTTTTAAAACATATATTTTGAGACTATTTCATTAAGGAAACTGAGGCTTAGGATTATTAGACACTTGATTGCCTGTTCAATAGTCATTACTCACTTCTTCCTTGCTAACAGAACTCCAGCTTCTTCCAGCAGGCAGGGTCCTCATAGAAGCTGGGGACCTACCCAGAGATGAACCATGATTAGTTAAAACCCCAAATGGCCTTTTGTCAGTGACTGATTTAGAGATGAGGCTCTATCTAGTTCCAGCCAAAAATACAGCAGGGGAAGCCTGCTGAGGGAATTCTGCAATATATTTTCTACGCTGAAAAAAACGGTAAGAAAAAAAAAAAAGGACCTCTTTCTTGTAGACACAGGAGAGTGAGGACATAATGTCTTGTGCAGTGGCCACCATCTTACTATAAGGTTAGACCAGCCTGAATGTGAAAACCAACATGCTTTAAATGAAGGAGCAAAAGTATGAAAGAACCTGGGTTCACAGTAATATTCATAATTTTATCAATAAATAGTTGCATAATCTGTTACTTGCAATCAAAAGCATTCTAACTGGCAGAATAACAGAGAGGAAATTTAAACCCAGGCCTGACTGATCATGAAGCTCACAAAATTACCAAGACAATGCAATATGATGTCCCTTGCAGTCCTTCTCTTTGGTGCTTCAGGGTCTTCTACCAAGAACTAGAGGAAAGCTAAGCTGGGGAGACCCTTTGCTGCCTTTCACTTCCCTGCCTCTCGTCCACTATCTCTGCTGCAATACACAGAAGTTCTAAACTAGATATTGTTCTTAAAATGCTTCTCCTGATTACAACTAATCTAAAATTATAGCACCACACTATGTAGCCTCTTTGAAAATTGTCTTTTTTCAAGCCAACTGTTAAACAGCAGTTTCTTTTACTTGTGAGGGCCTCTCTTAAAATCTTGGCCTAACATTTGCCTCAATTATTTTGGCTGATAAGAGATAAAGCAAACAGGGAGGGAAAACAAAACCCAAGAGCAGTTCAGAAACTGTCTTTTAACTGATCTGGTCTAATTTCTTCTTTCTTACCTAGATCTCTTTCCCCAAGGCTAGTAAATTAAATAACCCAATCAGCTTCTTTCTATTCTAGCTTTAAAAAATTTTTGTCTTTTCCTTTTTTCACCTCCAAAGAAGGCCCTGTGAAATGGCCCTGGGTCCTACAGAAGGAGGGAAGAAAAGGAGAGAAGTGTCTGGGGCTATGAGGCAGTAGAATTTGAATATATTGTGACAGCCCAAAGCATAAATTCTTTAAAACTTTTGACTTTTTTTGAGACATGTTTCAGTTATCATTTTCTTTTGTTCCAGGAAATTAACATCTTTGGTGGGGTAGAATTTTAGTTGGTACACAATAAATGTCCAAAAGATGCTAGAGAAAGAGAAAGGGGATAGGTAATATGGTTTGGCTGTGTCCCCACCCAAATCTCATCTTGAATTGTAGCTCCCACAATTCCCAATTCCCATGTGTTATGGGAGGGACACAGTGGGAGGTAATTGAATCATGGGGGCTGGTCTTTCCCATGCTTTTCTTGTGATAGTGAGTAAGTCTCATGAGATCTGATGGTTTTATAAAGGGGAGTTTCCCCGCACAAGTTCTCTTCTCTTGTCTGCCACCATGTGAAATGTGCCTTTCACCTTCTGCCATGATTGTGAGGCCTTGCTAGCCACATAGAACTGTGAGTGCATTAAACCTGTTTCTTTTGTAGATTGCCCAGTCTTGGGTATGTCTTTATCAGCAGCATGAAAACAGACTAATATACCAGGCTTCAAAACTCAAAGACAAAGGAAACAGTGCAAATGTCATGGTTTCTCTGCATTTGGCAGAAAACCACAATGTGCTGATAAGAGAAGCCTTAGAGGGCAAAGCACATCATGAAGATAAAGGCACAAGAAATGCACCAGTTTAAAGAGGCCCCTGGCTTCCTAAGCCCTCATGCACAAATGTGATCCAGAGGTGGATAATTGTGAAGCAGCAGACAAACAGTTACTCTCACATTCAGGCTCTGGGCCCAGGTGTCCTCTTTCAGGCTTGAATATCCTTTTTCACATTTACCTCTTCTCTCCTTCCCGGCTTACCCTGGAGTATCTTCTGACTTGGTCATTCTCTCACTCCCATCCCAACTTCTCACGAGTTTTCCAGTAAGCCTCTCAAACCAATGAAGCATCTTACTCAGTTGGTGGTGGTATATCACCTATCAATATATTTGTTATGGACCTGATGTCAATACCTCCTTCAGTAAGATTGTGTCCCTTCTCATAGGTCAGGAAGCCAAGGCTCAAGGATTTCAAGAAACAGAGTTTCACTGATAGCAAATGGCAGAACAGGATTCCAATTTGAGTCCAGGACCTATATTCCTTTCACTGTCTGAGGAACTTCCAACACCCTGATGGGAGGCTTTGAGAAATCAGAGCATTCAGAGAGAGGAGGCTGATGGCATCTTTGTTGAACATTCACCTTGGCATCCTGTCACCACCCACAAGGGATAAGAAGAGAGTGTGATTGTGGGAACTTTATTTCAGACAAAACTGTTCCAGTCAGCTTCAAACTGATGTACTGAGGCCAAGTGAGAATAATACCCCTAGCGATAAAGCAGATGACAATTTGGGGAAAACACTGAACAAAACTGCTTAGATTGGAAACAATCAGCATCTCCAAAACCAGTATTTTCCCCCAAACCATCAAAAATGGGGCTGCCTCGCCTAATACAAAACATTTATTGCATCTTGTTGGACAATGCCTTTTGTTCATCAAGAGCTGATAGTTGATTAAGGACCTCTCTTTAGGGAGAAAATAACTCCCTTCCTCATCCTCCCTCTGCCACATGGATATTTAGGGAGACCTGGCAAACATTAAGAAGCACATTGAAGCAAGTATATATAGATTGAATTAAGGTATGACAGGGCAATTCATTACGTTATATATCAGTTACTGCTACTCCTGTGCCCTAGTAGCTCAGGGAAGTTGGCTAGTGGCTGCTGTATTTTCACATTTTCTAGCTGGAGATGCATGGTCCTCTTGCTCTCAAAGGTACAGCCATTGGACTATAACCCACACACAGATTTCGCCTCATTCAAGATGCAATCTAAACAGCACACATTAATCTTCCTGAAAGGGGCGTTATCTTATGGTTAAAGTGGAGGTGATATTATAGTAACTCACGTATCTTTCCCTTGTATTGATTTGAACCTAACCTCTCCTGAGTACTCATAAACCAGGAAAAGCTTTCAATGCACTCTGCCCTAAAGCAGGGCTATAACTGTATAAATGCAGACAGAAAGGGATGTGAGATATGTTCAGCTTTGAATTTTTAAGGTGATTTTGAATCAGAGAAAATAGCATTTCAAGGTTTTTTTTTTTTTTTTAGTTTCAAGAATTCAGGAATTTCAAATAACAAAAACAAAGCATATTATAAGTAGATGTGGGGAGGAATGGCTAAAGAATAGGAATACCTACCCAAAGGGTAGATGAGGTTGTCCTGCTGGAGGATGATCACATTGGAGAAAGAAGCTCAGAGGATCCCAGGAGAAGACTAAGTGCCTTTCTAGGGAGCCCTGTTCATCAGGATGTATGGTGACTGCTTTCTTTGGGCGGTTGTCTCATCAATAGCAGCCATAGAGACTCAATATATATCCCAAGACTTTTATAATCCCATTGGTATTACACTTTATTGGCACTACACTTTGAATATTTCAAAAGAATCTTAAGCTCCCCATGACCAAGAGTGGACCTTATGAATGTAGGAGTGGTAAGGATGTACAATGGAAAGCAGCCAGCACCTATTCTTGGATGTGGCTGAAAGGAACCACATGGAGATCTCTTGAGCAGGCCTGGAGGTGAAATACTCCCCTTTATTGCAGCTGTTGGTTAATGAAGATATGTTGAGGGAATTTCACAGCTCTGGCATCAGGTAGGAGACTCACACTGATTCTGTATGATTCTGACCCAGTTGTCAAAACATAGTCTCCCAGCAGGACTGTGCTTTGCTCCCTGGTGACTGTATTCTCCATTTTTACAAACTGCTGTTTGCACAGGAAGCCTGCCTTGGTCTTGCCCTTGTCCTCCAAGATTAGCATTCGACTCTGAACTCCAACATCAAGCCTGTTCCCTGGAAATCAATGACAGGTTTCTTTTTGTCCATTGGAACTCCTTGCATTGCCTATTTCTATTCTTCTGCCCTTAGAACACTGCACTGACTCATACTGCATGCACATTCTCAAGGCCAGCTCCTTGCCTGACCCACTCCATGGGTACCACTGCCCCTCCTCCTATCGTGTACCCTTCCCAGGAGCGTATGTCTAGCTCGAGTCTTGGAGAAGCAGCCTGTCCTGGAGAGAGTATAGATTTGGAGTAAGGTTCAAATTCTTGTCTGGCACTTACAAGTGATGTGACATTGGGCAAGTCATAAATCCTCCTTTAACCTCAGCTTCCTCATCTGTAGAGTGGGAATTATCATCATTACCACCACAGGAAACACATGTAAAATACAGCTTCTGGCATAAAGTAGAGGGTATAAATGGTAGACTTTACCTACTCCCTCCATAGTCTGTGTTTTTGTTTCAACTCTACTATGTGACAGATCAGAAACTTTGTTTCTTTTGGAGAGTGTGCCAAAGAGCAAGCTGGGAAAATTCCAAGGGTAGCCCAGACACTGTGAACAGGGTAGAAACTCTTTCCTTCCTGTCTTACCTTTTCTCTCAGGAATGAGAATACAGCCCAGGGGGATAGGCTCGCAGTTACAGAACTGTAGGGTAATACAAAACCGGTGCTGCCACTCCTATTCAACATAATCCTGGAAGTCCTAGACAGAGTAATCAGGCAAGAGAAAGAAAGGGCATCCAAATTGGAAGAGAGGAAGTCAAACTATCTCTCTTCCCATACTATATGATACTATACCTAGAAAAACCTCACAGTCTCTGCTGAAAGGTTTCTAGATCTAATAAACAACTTCAACAAAGTTTTATGATACAGAATCAATGTAAACAAATCAGTAGCATTTCTGTACACCAATAACATCAAAGCTGAGAGCCAAAACAAGAATGCAATCCCATTCACAATAGCCACAAAAAGAATAAAATACCTAGGAATACAGCTAACGAGGGAGGTAAAAATCTCTACACTGAGAATTATAAAACACTGCTGAAAGAAATCAGAGACTACACAAACAAATGGAAAAATATTCCACATTCATGGATAGGAAGAATTAATATTGTTAAAATGACCAAACTGCCTGAAACAATTTACAGATTCAATGTTATTCCTATCAAACTACCAACATTTTTCACAGAATTAGATTTAAAAAAATCTAAAATTCATTTGGAACCAAAAAGAACCTGAATAGCCAAATCAATCCTAAGCAAAAAGAACAAAACTGGAGGCATCACCCTACCCAACTTCAAACAATACTGCAAAGCTACAGTAACTAAAATGGCATGGTACTCGTAGAAAAAAAAGACACATAGACCAATAGAACAGGTTAGAGAACTCAGAAATAAAGCCATACACCTACAACCATGTCATTGTCAACAAAGCCAACAATAGCAAGCAATGGGGAAAGAACTTCCTATTCAATAAATGGTTGTGGAATAACTGGCTACCCATATGCAGAAGATTGAAACTGGACCCTTACCTGTCACCATATATAAAAATCAACTCAAGATGGATCAAAGACTTAAATGTAAAAATCTAAAACCATAAAAGCCCTAGAAGAAAACCTAGGAAATCCATTCTGGACATTGACTTGGACAAAGACTTCATGACAAAAACTCCAAAAGCAATCACAAAAAAACCCCACAACAATTGATAAGTGGGACATAATTAAACTAAAGAACTTCTGTACAACAAAGAAACTATGGATAGCATAAACAGATAACCTATAAAATGGGAGAAAATATTTGCAAACTATGTATCTGACAAAGGTCTAATATCCAGAATCTATAAGAAACTTAAGTCAACAAGAAAAAACAACCTGCATTAAAAAATGGGCAAAGGACATGAACAAACACTTCTCAAAATAAAACATACATGCAGCTAACAGGCATATGAAAAAATGCTCAATATCACTAATCATTAGGGGAATGCAAATCAAAAACACAATGAGATATCATCTCACATCAGTCAGAATAGCTATTATTAAAAAGTCAAAAAATAACAGATGCTGGCAAGGTTGTAGAAGAAAGGAACACTTATACACTGCTGGCAAGAATGTAAATTAGTTCAGTCACTGTTGAAAGCAGTCTGGATATTTCTCAAAGAACTTAAAATAGAACGACTTTTCAACCTAGCAATCCTATTACTGGGTATATACTCAAAGTAATATAAATTGTTCTATCATAAAGACACATGCATGCTTGTTCATTGTGGTACTATTCACAATAGCAAAGACATGGAATCAATCTATATGCCCATCAGTGGTGGACTGGGTAAAGAAAATATGGTACATACACACCATGGAATACTACACAGCCATAAAAATAAAAAGATCATGGCCTTTGCAGTAACATGGATGGAGCTGGAGGCCGTTATCCGAAGCAAATTAATGCAGGAACAGAAAACCAAATACTTCACTTATAAGTGGGAGCTAAACACTGAGAACACACAGACGCAAAGAGAGGAAAAATAGACACTGGGGCTTATTTGAGAGTGGAGGGTGGGAGGAAGATGAGGATTGAAAACTACCTATTGGGTGTTATGTTGATTGCCTGAGTGACAAAATTACCTGTACATTTTGTCAAATGTCCAAACCCCCATGACATGTGATTTACCCATGTAACAAACCTGCACACGTACCTCTTGAACCTAAAATAGAAGTTGGAAAGAAAAAAAAGACAGCACCAAAGGGCAAACTGGAAAAGCTAAACCTGTCAGCAGATCCATAGGGGGAGATATGGAAACAGCACCTAGAGCACAGCTTGAGGTCCGTGTGGCTGGACAGGAGGACAGTGAAGGTCTGGAAGTAGAGGTGGTCATGAACCTTGGCCATGGTGAAAACCAGTTTGCTCAGGCATCTCCTCAAAGTTCCATGAATGAACCTGGCTAAATGTTTTAATGAGGTGGCTGTGACAAAAAAAAAATTCCCGCAAATCAATTCATTTCTGCCTGTCAGTAAACCCGGGTATGGATAAAATAAAATTGGGTCTAACTTTGGTCCCACTCTACCAAGAACTCAAACAAAGTTTCTGAGTGAGCAGCGAAGACATTTCCCCTGGTATTTTACACTAACGGTCTAGCTATGGCTGGAACCAGGCAGTTTTCAGGAATAAATATACTAAAAGAGCAGAAAACCTGTTGCAAGACACATTACTGTCCTGCCTTTCATAAAGATGATGATGGCATAAATCTGGCCCCCATCTTGTGTTTATCAGAATTAATGCTTCAAATTTTATTCCAGTCATTTGAATATTTAAAATGAAGAAACCAGGAATGAACAAATAATAAATGAACAATAAATATGTGAAGGCCATTCAGAATCTCAGTAGCAGAGTGATGTATAGTCTCCTTCTAAATAAAAGATTGAAATATGACTGAAATTTAGTGTTTGCAGCTAAGATATGTAGACGAGTTCAAACTCAAGTTGGATGAAGTCAAAGAAAAACACCCATTGGGTGAGGCCACAAAAGTGTAAACTCATTGGCTCAAAAATCAGTATTTTGGGTTTATATGCCAGTGAGACCTGTATTAAATACACTATCTTACAAACTTTGGGGTTTCTAATTTAAGCCAGAAAGCTTAGTTAATGTTTCAGCCCTGTCAGATACTAATGACTTGTTTCCTTGAGTAAGTGGCTTCACATTTTTTGTCTTATTTTCCTTGTTATTTGGAGCACACACAAAAACCTCACCACCCAGGCCCTACTGTGACAATTTCTTGAAACAGTGATGGGCTTTTCTGATTGCCACCTCTAAGTGTCTACTGCTGATTTTGGCACAGAGAGGGTGCTCAAGAGTTGTCTGTTAAATGCTTGAGTGAGTGAATGAATGAATGAGAACGTGAGAATATGAGATAATTAATAAGAAAGTGCTTTGGAATGGTTACATGTATTTTAAAAATACCACTACTTTTATATTTCTGCCTTTCTTTGTTTCTTCCATTCAATATGCTCTTAAGTATCTTCAAAACTCTAAGGACTTCCAACCAAGGAGGTCAAGCTTTGTAGCATGTAAAGAGAATAATCAATTTGGCCAATTCTGAAGATGACAGTTTCTAAAATTCAAAATAAAAATATAATGTCTTAGTGAAAGGAAACAGCCAATGCAAAAGATTTTTTATTTACTATTACTGTCTCATCTCTATTCAAACATTTAATGTTCACTAGCAGGTCATATGTTATGAACACTTTAGAATTTTATTGAAGAATTTAATAATTTCTTACCTTTGCACATGTGATGCACTTTAGACATATATAAATTCAGTTCCGTTTATTTCATCGATTTAAAGTAATACACACACACACATGCACACACATGCATACACACACACATACACAGTAAAGTACATTGCTCCTAGTTATCTTGAGAAGATTAATCTTATTTCAAAGAGGCTCTACATGATTTCTGGAATTAGGCACTAGATTTAAAATGTTCTACTAGGGAATATAATATATGGTGAAAAAATGGCAACAGAAGGGCAGAGATTTAGGTTTCCTTCATAGGGAATGATGATGAATAGAAATGTACATCTACCATTTTCTGCAGATGTAGAAAATCGTATTTTCTGCTCTTGTGATTTTATGCAATGCTAAACTTTTCCATAAAAGAAAATGATAAAATCCATCTCTTCTCAGTGAAGTGAGTCCTCATAGATTTTATGAGACATATGCACCTCCTGGCTTGGAGGCTGCCAGGTGTTTGGCCCCATGCTGCTGACCTTAGATAAGTAGGCAGTAATAAGCAAGAACCTTGTGGCCAACTCTTGAGAGGGGCTCAGTTATAGTTGTCAAGGAGACAATCTGCTTATCATGGTTTAAGAATCCTGGCTGGGAGAGAAAACCACAATGATTTTGTGTACAGCTTAGCTCCAGCCATCTTCAATGATGGCAATGTCATCAGTGTGAGTACCCATAAAAAGAAGAAAGAAACCATTTCACTAATGCTGATAAAAATTAAAACGACAAATGCAAGCCTTGGAATAAGCATTTTGGCTTTTCCTCTAATCCCTATGTCCTCTTAAGATAAAGCCTGGAACCTCCACTATAATAAGCAAGTACTAATTTTTAGTGCTTACAATATCATATCTGATCTTCTCAACCACCCTATGAGATAGGCCTAGTAGTGAATAATGGGCATCAGTTTTGGCCATCCATGTCTGAGCTCCCCTTCTGTGTTAGTTACCTATAAATCTTGATGGGGGATTTTCCAGCCTCTATTGAAGGTTAAAGCAGTTGTAACACTTGGGTTCTGCCATCAGATGACCTGGGCTGGATTTTGACTTAGGTTAAAGTAGAGCTTTTTCTCTGGAGGTGGTGGCAGTAGTAATTGTCACAAAATGAAATTCCCAGCACAGAACTGGCAATGATGGAAGCCTTAGTGTCTAATGCTTAGTGACTTTGATTTTTTTTTGTGATACCATTTTTGCAGCCTGGTTGTATGGTTCAAGCCTGATTCTCCAGTTCTCCTAAGTTCACTGGGGTATATTGATATCCTCTTATTAAGTTCATTTTGTGCTTCAGTCAAAGCCAGCACCATCTGACTTCAAAAACTGTGCTCTTAAACCTATTGCTTGGGGACAGGAAAAAGGGGCAAAGCTGTGATGGAAAGCAAGCTAATGTAATTCAGCAAGGTCATCTCCTATTGCTTATCCATACTGACCAGACATTCTGGTCAAAGGACAAGAGAGCTGAGTCCAGTGATCTACACCACAGACTGCCCAGGGAACAACAGAAGTCAGATTCTATTTCAGGTTTTCCAGGATGATTTATTTAGCTGAAGTACGGTGAGAAGTCCCAAAGTTCTGACACCATAGGAAAGTAATTTGAACTTCTCAGAGAAATTTTGCTCAGCAAATATACAATATAGTTTTAAGGTTTTTAACTCTCACTTGTGCTGACATTTTACGACAAATAGTGTATATTTAATAAACAATGTCATAGACTCTCAGGGTTGGAATGTTCCTAAAAGCTAACTGGTCCACCTGTCTGACCAATGATTGAGTTCCTGACCAATAAGCCTCCCTGCTTGGCACTTTCTATGCAGGGCGATATTACTTCCTAGCCCTTTGTTCTATCTTTGAGTGTTTCTGACTATTATAAAATTTTCCTCTTAGTAAATCAGTATAGGTCTGTAGGTGATTCCTTCTCTTTGGTTCCTGCACTGGTACCTAATATAAAATAGAATAATTTATAGCACCCTCACTTCTGCCCCAACCCACCTCTGATTTCTGCCGCAACTGTGGCAGACAGCCATAAGCCTTTGCATCTCTTTGCTTCTCAGCCTCTGAATTTTCTCTGACACTATGAGAATTCATGTAGGAGGCAGCCTGCAAGTGTGGGTGAATTATCACATTGAGGGGTAACCCTGAACCCATGAGATTCAAAAACTGAAGGGTTAACGTCTGAGCATCTCTGCCTTGGGAGGGAAAATTCTGAGGTGCATTCTACATAGCTCCTCAAAAAGTCTCCAGTGGGATTGGGCTTCAGATGCCCATAGTAGTAACAGTCTTCCACAATCTTTTTTATTTTCTTCCCTGTCTCACTTTCCCCATTTCTTAATTCTTGCTTTCTGACATCACCCCTCAAATAACATACCTATATTCTAATATTTGCCTTAGGCTCTACTTTGAGGGGCACCAAAACTAAGACAGAATCTATTACTGATATATCTGGTTCAAGTTAATTAAAAAATGGAATTATTGCAACCAATCTCCTACTATATACCCATCACTGCATTTGGCTATTTCACATGAAGACTGTAGAAAGAACTTGGGATTTAGAGACAAATGGGCTTGTGTCTAAATCCCAGTTGCACCTCTCACTATTTTTGTGGTCAATATCTTTAACTTCTTGGAGCCTCTGTGTCTATATGTGTAGAATGGAGATATTAAGACCTAACTCAGAGGCTTGGTGTGAGGACATAGCAGACATAAAGGATCCAGACCAGTACTGTCCCATAGACATGGCTCCTTTGCTTAAATTATTTAATCCTTGCAATTCTGAGAAGTACATATTCCCCACTTTATAGCTGAGTAAACTGAGGCTTAGGGAGATTAAGTAATTTAACTCTTCTCCTTGGTCACACTCTTCAGCTATCCTGCCCTCTTTGCTATCCTCAAACATACAAGCTATAGTCCTGCCTTGAAGGCTTCCTTTGTTTCCAACACCTGCAACTCTCTTCTTCCAGATACCGGCTTCATTACCTCCCTCACCTCCTTCATGTTTCTGCTTATTTTTCACCTTCCCCATGAGGCCTACTGTGACGCCATGACCACTTGGTTTCTCCCAGTCCTTTACTCCATGGCTCCCCCAATCTCCAGAGCTGCTATTTCCATTCTTTCTTATTTTTTTTCTTATTGTTTCTCTCCTCTTGACTTAGTGTATGTTTTGAAAATACTTCCTTTAATTTCAGATTGTCTTATTACTTCTTGTTCTTCGGGTAAAAATGTGACAGTTTGTTACATCTGCCAGCACTCTCTCTCTCTCTTTCTCTCTTTCTCTCTCTCTCTCTCTCTCTCTCTCTCATGGTGGCTTATTCCCTGGTGTTTTGTCATTTTGTCTGTGAGATCATCTTCAGCAGGAATTGTATTTCTTGTGAGTCTGGGTGCTCAGGGTTTGGAGGTGTCCCTAATGCATGGGTTTTATGTTTGCTTCTGCCAAGACCTTAAGGAAGCCATAAGTTCTAGGATACATGTTTTATATATTGTTATCTTGATTTGGGCCTTTGCGTATTCAGATAGTATAAATCAGAACTATGTTAAGTACTCCCATATATGACCAGCTTTCATGATGCTTTCTTTGCCAGGTTCCTTTCTTCATTCTCTAATCAGGGTAACTTCCATATCTATGGAGGGGCTTAACCGCAAGGCCCAAAGCCTCTTCTCTTGTTTTACATGAAGGTAGGCATTGGTTAAAGCACCAGCTCTCCAGGTCTGAGGGCTAATAATTAGATCTTATAGCTTTATGATCTGGTCATCAATAGCTTCTGCCCAGAAATCTGGCTTTGTTCCTCTTCTTCATTTCTGGCACCGAGAATTGCCTTGCCTTACCTTCAAACTCAGCTTTGTGTTTACTTTATACATTTATGTTGTCTAGTATTTCTTTGTGTTTGGAAGACAGAGTTCTTTATATGTCAGATGAGTTTGCCAGAGTGACTGGAAGTTTCTGAGTACTTTTCATGTGTGATCCCTTATTAGAAGTGAAACATACTTCAGACAATATGGAAATTCATGTAGGACATCTAAAAATAACACTGATATTGACAACTGACATTTGTGGAGAATTTACTTTGTGACAGATAAAATTTTAGGGGCTTTACATTACCTTTTCTAATGTAATCATCCAAATAACTCCATGAGATAAACACTTATATGTCTATTTCTGAGAAGCAGAAGTGAGAGTAACTTTTGAAGGTCACACAGTTGATTAGTGGCCAAGGCACCTAGGGTAAAGCAGTATTTAGGCTGATGAGGTACATACATATTCTTGCCCCACCACTTCCAGTGTTTATGACATTGGGCAAGATAATTAAACTTTCTAAGAAAATAGGAATGGTACAAATAATGTACAATATGAAGATTAAGTGAGAATATCCTTAAAAAGTACATGGCGCAGTGCTTGGCCCATAGTGTGCTCTGTAAATATTAGGTGTTATTACACAGCAACCATTTAGAAATCATATTTGTATTGTCTGGGGAAAATAAAAAGTCTTCTCTTTGGATATGAAGGAATGATGCTATCCTTCTACAATCACATTCTGAGAAGTTAGCACCAGCACATGCTCTCTCTGACTGCCAGACGGTTTCCTGCACACCTTCTGTGAACACATCAGTTATTATCGACTTGAACTTCTGCCTCTCTATTTGTATCTTCACACATTTTAAATTCAAATTACTTGCTAATTGATGCACCCATCATGCTTCAGTTCATTTCCTGGTACACCAAAGTCATTTGTAAGATTTCTCCTGGGTCTCCAGAATTAAGTTTTTATAGACACCTTGGAAGGGCTGATTTGCCAACTTGGTCTAGAGCAATACATGGGGAGGGAGATGCTGGATGTCACAGATTGACTTCTGCAGAAGCAGATGTTGAAGTAGATTTAGGGGGTTAGATATTTATTAGGGATTAGCATCTATGGAAGAAACAGAAATAACAGGATTCAGCAGAGGGAGAAGATGAACTGCAATGCGGGGTTGATGAAGTCTTGGCCAACCTGGTGGGGAGCTCTGGAGCAAATACGATCTGTCAGAATTGCTCTGTGTTAGCCCACATGACAAGGCTTTTTATATCCCAGCCCCACTAATTTACTGACTGGATGCCCCGCAAAGGGCAGAGCTTGTGTGAGGTGTTCTGCAACCAAGGCAGACCCTGATGGATCTGGCGGCTGAAGGCTCTCTGATGATCACCCTTCCTAAAGCTGGGCATCAACTTTTCTTGAAGGAGGATCTGGGTGGTGCATCTCTGAGTAACACATGAGAGTAACTGGCCATGCAATTTCATCACTCTTGTGATAGAAACTTTAGGCAATTACCAAGATGTCTGCCTTCTCTCTTACTTCCATCTTGTGTAAGAGTTAATTTGGTAGCTTGACTTTCCCCTACTTGGTGATAAGTTCCTGGAAGGCAGAATCTGGAAACTATGAATCTGAAGACCGTACAGGACATATCACAGTGCCCTTTATCTTATAAAGGTGGTGCAGATGTTTGTTCAATAAAACACTAGGAGAGAATTGTCTAAGAACCACAGGAAAAAGGACTGTCCAATATATCATTTTTGAGTAATTATTGAGAGAAAAAGATTAATTAGCACTTGTATCATACATGCTTCAAAATGAATGGCGAATGTACCAAATTTTTAAATATAAAAATTAAAACCCTAAGTCTAAGAAAACATAGGTAAATATGATTCTGATTTTGAGGTATTCAAATTTTAGAAGCAAATGAGGAGCCTACAAAAGAAATTCATAGTTTTCAGACATAATTTTTAAACCTCCATATACAAGAAAAATCTGCTCAAATTTAAAGACAAATGAGCAATTGGAATTTAAAAAAACAAAAGACAAATAAACAATTGAAAAAATATTTTTACCAGATCAAGTCATATTCTTAATAAATAAAGAAGTTATGCATGCTGATTAATTAATAAAAATACCCGAATGGAAAAAAATGGCAAATGATATTGAATGTACAATTTCAAAAAGAAAAAATACAAATGATGAAGAGCATAACAGAAAAAGTTTAGCCTCTTTAATAATCAATGAGTTACAATTTTAAAACCGAGGGGAAAGTTTTTTAGGTACCTAAGTGATAGATTTTAAAAAGGTAATACTCAATGTTGACAAAGGTTGGGGAGATGGAATTTACTTATAGATTTGGTGGCAGAGTAAATTTATACAACTTTTCTTGAGGACACTTTGTCTATATGCATAAAGTCTTTCATCCAACCAGTCTACTTTTAAATGTTTTCCCTAAAGAAATTATCTAAGATATAAACAGTGATAAATATCCAATAATAAGGGAATTAGGATTAAATAATGATTTATCCAATTACTGTGCAGCGATTAAAAATCACACAGTTGAAGGATTTTTAATGAAATTAGAAAATTCTGAGGCTATAACGTTAAGTGGAAAAAAGTCAAATATAAACTGTGAATTTAAATTTACTTATATTTATACATACACACATATATATATAATACTAACAGAAATTATTAGCAATGATTATGTCGGGATGGTAGAATGATGACAATTATGGTTTTTCCACATTCTTTTCTTTATTCTTAAAATTTTCACACTGTGCACATATTAATGATATTCAGAGAACTCAACCAGACACACACACACACACACACACACACACACAGAGAGAGAGAGAGAGAGAGAGAGAAAGACTTTTACATAAGAGGCTAATAATAAAGGAAACTTCCACCTGGTCCTGGGTGTTTACCAGCCACCCATCTTAGGCTACTCATCCTACATCCTTTCACTTTCCTCAGTCAAAATACTTAAGATAATGGTTCCTGTTCTGGAGACGTACACATTGCTCTAGAGTATAGTAAATATGGAACTGCACATGTTTGAATCTAAATCCCAGACCTGTCAATTACTAGCTGTGTGTCTTGGGTGACTGACGCCCTTGTACTCTCAGAGACTCACATTCTTCTTTTACAAAATGAGGTTATAAATATCCACCTAATAGTAGTGTGGCAGGAACAATGTGATATAGCAACAAGTCAAAGCACAGACTTGGGAGCTAGACTGCCTTGGTTCAAATTTTAGCTCTGCTACCACTAGTTGTGAAACCATGGCCAAGTTATTTAACCTTTGTGTCACTTGATGTCCCTCTATTTAATGGGAGATCATAATAGTTGCCACTTTACAGGGTTTTAGGAGGATTATGCAGGTTAGTGAGCATGTAAAGCAATACCAGTACATGCTGCACACTATGTCACTGTTTGCTATGATTATTCAATGAGGCATTTAATGTAAAACACCACTGAAGAAATAAAATTCAGTTAATTAAGCATTTGAGTGCCTACTAGGCTAAGTCCTGTGTTAGGGGTCCAGAATGTTAGAATATATAACCTCTGTTTTTAAGAAAGTCTTGATTTTGAGGGGGCATATACACAAGGAAAAAAAATCCCTGCAGAATAGAGAAAATCAAGTTAGAATTCTGCACAAGCAACCTTAGAAGCACAAAGAAGGAGCCCTACATCTAGCCCAGGAGTTCAAGGATTATATGGTGCTGAAGTTTAAAGCATGTAAGTAGGCACTCAATCTATGTCTGTTTTCTTCCTCTAATTCCATTCTCCTTCTAACCACCTCCCCTTGTCAGATCATTTAGTGGACATTGGATGACAAGAAATAGGAGAGGAAATCAAGGAGAATCGTGTTTCTTCTCCCTAATACCACCTACCCATTCTACCTATCCATTTCAGGCAGCCTGGCAGTATAATGCCAACTTGGATTCATATATGCACACTTTTGAAAATTCAAGGTCCTGTCTCCTTTTCCTGCCAGCCAGATATGGGACTTATATACTTCTCCCTGGGTTGGTTTGACCTTTAATGAAAGACTATGCTAACTCCTGTGCTCACAAAGCAGTAAATACCCAAGTCTTTCTGTCACAGAGTTTTAGGAACACAGGGACATCTAAAAATTAACTAAGCTGCTTAGCCAAAGCTCACCTTCCCCAGGGGTGCTTCTTTGTTCTGCAGGCCAATTGGGACCTGTCTGGATACCCCCTACCCCAAAATTGCTCATTTTGTTTGCCAGTCACTCCTTGCCTGGCTCTAACAGGCACCTTTCTTAGGAGTCTAACTGAGAAATTTAAATTTCTCTATACAGGCCAAGCCTCATGAGGGCTATTTGGGAAAGCCAGATGCACCCTCAGTCTAGAAATCCTGCCCTTCTTTTCTTCACCCTGTGAATTCCTGCTTGTCTTCTGAGACTCAGCTGTGGCATCACCTCATCTGAAACTCTTTCTTGACTTCTCTTGCCAGCTCAGTTAGGTGCTCCTCAGCTGTCATTTGAAGAGTGATAATTTGATGCCATAGTGATTAAATCCTATCATTTATTTGAGAAAAAAACCCCACTGATTTGTATACACAAATACAAAAACATACAAATTTGCCTTCTTTAACAAATTTTGTAACCTTCCTTTTGCCCCTTCAAACAGTATTTCCATTTTATTTTCCTCATAGAATTTTAGCCTAATACAATACAATTTTATGCTTTAACATGTTTTATTGTGCAGTCTTTAGTAATCTTTACCAAAAAAAATTTCCATAACTCAAAGTGTTAAAGATTTTTGTTTGGATTGAGTTTTCATTACAATTTTAAGTACAACATTGATCAAAACAATAAATTATAGTCTACATTTTGATGATTACTGGATTTAAAATTATAATTCAGCATGCAGCTTTAATGAGATGAATGGCTACTCCTCCCACAATTACTTAATGTATCCATGAATAAATATGACCAACCACTAGGATAAATGAGATTCAGCCTCAAGTACATTCCTATTTTTCATTTTAATAAATGCTTACAACTGAGAAATTTTTTCTTATAAATAAATTGACATGAATGGAAGTTTTGTAATAGCCTTGTCACTCTTTTTTTTGCACTTTTTCCAAGTTGTATATCAAAACCACAGTGATTCATCAGCAAAAATTATTTTTAGTCATCCAACAACTGACAAGTCAATGAGGTCTACCTTCAATTTTGTGGAAAGAAAAGAACTGGAAAACCTGACTTTCAGAAAGATTTGATTACTGAATCAGGATAGTTATCCATTTTCTCAACACCTAAACTAATATTTCAAATGGCCCCTTGTTTAGCACTTGGAAGGTTTCAGTAAACCACAGGGTTTACTGTCATTATAGACAGTGTCCCAGTGCTGACAAGCTTACTTTATTTGAAAAAGCGTAAGAAGTATGAGTTCTTAGGCAGTTCAATTTTAGGAAACAGTACAGATGGAACTGGAAGATCTGCAAATTAAGCCCTGACTGCGTACTCTTCAGAAAATCATCACTTTGCCCCAGGGGTGGTGTTTCCCGATTTGAAGTCTGTTACTTAGGTGAATCAATTAACAGATCATATAAGATTGGGAAGGCAGGTAAATTATTGATACACTTGCAGGATGGAGAAATTTCTCATGATTCTCTGGGAAGCCCCAACCCCACGGCCACTTGGTGCCTTGGGGCCATGTTGGTGGAGGACTCATTTCATTATTAAGTCTGGCATTAAGGCTGCTAGAAGACCTCATTAAGTTATTTCAGATATAGGGCTATAATTACTCAGTAACAGAACTGGCAATTTTCTGCTTGCATCAGAATTTAAGGAAACTAGGACCAGAAAATGCCTATGTATTTCCTGGCAGAGAGGACCAGCCTGGGAAGAGACATGAGGCAGGAATGGTTGCAATGATTCTCTTTGGTAGATTTGGCTACTATAACATGAAATGATATAGGGGTGTTGCCATTGAAAAGTTTATTCTTGCCCCCCTCTCATATATGTTTCCATCCAATTTCTTTTATAAGAGAAAAATCAATCAGCAAAATTATATATAATAAATTCTTTAGTTCCATTTTCTTCCACTTCAGATTCCTTTTCATTTTCAGGAAAGATATTTTAATACCAGTGTAAGAGTGTTCTGCACAGAGTATTTATACTCAATTTTAATTCACCCAAAAAGTGCTTACTTGCCTTGGATGCCCTAAACATTACCATACCCGAAAACTATGTCCACATTTGCTCTTGAAGAAATCTCAACCTATGGCATGAAATACCATCTATATACCATATAAACTCAAATGTTTATACATATACCTGATCTCTCTCCTAAGTTCCCAATGTGAATATCCCAATGTGTACCTGCCGACCAGATACCTACACTGGAAATCTCATACATATATATATGTATATGTGTGTGTGTATATATGTATATATATATACACACGTGTATATATGTATATATACACACGTGTATATATACATATATACACACGTGTATATATACATATACACACACGTGTATATATGTATATATATACACGTGTGTATATATGTATATATATACACACACTATATATGTATATGTGTGTGTATATATGTATATATTGTATATATATGTGGAGTGTGTGTGTATAATGAGTGCGTGTGTGTATATACATACATACATACACACATATATATTTACAGTGTAGGTATTTCCAGTGTGTGTGTGTGTGTGTGTGTGTGTGTGTGTGTATCTCCAACAAAACATGCCAAAACCAGAATTGTTTTTTCCACTCCCTTCTCCCATGTGCACCCATGTGACACCACAGTGTCTTTTGTTTCTATAAGTGGCCCCACAATGCACTGAGTTGCTTAAATCAAAATTCTGTTGGTCATTCGTCTTTTCCCATACCCCAAAATCTAATCCAATCCATCAGCAAATAAACATTTTAGGTAAAGCTGTGAAGGACAACACCTTAATAACATTTCTCATAGCCTTCCATTTTTTTCTCCACTAGACCAAGAGTGACTTCATGGATATTTGCCACTGCCTACTCACAGTTTTCCTCATTCTTGCCACCCTTTCCTCTTTCAATCCATCTTCTACACAGGATCAAGAGGGAAATTTTAATCATGGATTGTATCACATCACTCCCCTGCTTAAAATTCTTTGTGGTTTTCTATAGTTCTTAGAAGCCAAACTTTTTCCCATACCCTATAAAGCTCTATATCAGTTATCTTTAGTCTGTGATTAGAATTACTGGGAGAACCTAAAATAACAACAAGATCAACAACAGCAGCAGCAACAACAACCAAAAATCCCAAACACCGATGCCTGGGCACCACCCTAGACTAGTTGATTTGGAATTTCTGTAGGTGGAGCATCTGCATTTCTGATACATAGTCACTATCTCTCTCACTCACTAAGATCCAAATATACAAATCTATTTCTTTTTTAAAACACACAGAATTTGTACCTGCCTATGGACTTTTTCACTGGCTATTTCCTCTTTCTGGAATATTTAATACTCAGATTGGCACATTGGCTGGCTCCTTCTCATCACCCAGGTCTCCGCTCAAATATCACCTCTTTAAAGAGAAGAGAGTCAGAGAAGAGGGCAACAGACTTGTAAACCTTCATGTCTGTATACATGAGATTAGAGTCCTCATGTCAGGAGTTACTCCTTGCATTCTCCAGTCACTCACATATCACATGCCCTGTTTCTATGAGCTTGTCAGTGGTTGCTCTCCCATTTTCTTGCCTGTGGTATGTAGCCATCCTAAGAAGCAACAGAATTATCAAGTTAGCTTTTTAACTCATGTTTACATGCATATTTATTCAAATAATTATAATTCACTGGGACAGTGACTGTAAGAATGTATGCATATGTATGCAGGATTATCAAGGTCTTAACATGCCATGCAAACAGGAGTCATCTCTGACTGCCTCTGAGGAATGACACTTCTCCTTGGGATGTATCCTGACATACAGACCTTTATGATCATCCTTCAGGGAACTTTCTCAAGAAAATACTCATTGAAAATCCAGTTCAATTTTGGAAACAACTTTTTTTTTTTTTTTTAGATGGAGTCTTGCTGTGTTGCCAGGCTGGAGTGCAGTGGCATCATCTCAGCTCACTGCAACCTGCAACCTCCTCCTCCTGGCTTCAAGGGATTCTCCTGCCTCAGCCTCCTGAGTAGTTGGCACTACAGGCGCGCATCACCATGCCCAGCTAATTTTTGTACTGTTAGTAGAGATGGGGTTTCACCATGTTGGCCAGGATGGTGTCGATCTCTTGACCTTGTGATCCACCCACCTCGGCCTCCCAAAGTGCTGGGATTACTGGCGTGAGCCACCACACCCAGCTGGACACTGCATTTCTAGGGATGTGGTTGACTTTGGTATAAAGCCCTTAGTGGTAGAATGAATTTCAACTTAGATATCCAAGCCCAATTTTGCTATAAAGGATCTTCCTGTATTCCTCCACTTTCAATATCTTAATAGGACTTGCATTGATAAGGAGTGCTAAAACTTACAACGTACTTTTACAGGTAGATGTTCTTCCTTATGTTCTCCCTTAACTCCCTGGGTAGTTGAGGCTTGAGTACTAGGTAGTTGAGTACCAGAGTTCCCACATATGAGTGTGTAGCTTGTGTGCTATAAAAGTGTGCCTGGATGAAAGCTTGGGGAATGAAACTCAGTCCCTCACCAAGGCAGTCGCCTTCCTTAGGGCAAAGTCAGCCCAGAGGAAAGGGTGTGTTTCCCATCTTCAACCACCAGAGGGAACATTTTTCCTATTTCTGCAACACTGCCATCTGTCGTGGCTTAGCCATGGCAGTACTACTATTTTGGTTAGTTGTTTATTGCTTTATTTTGCAGATGAAAACTCCGCTATTGAGAGAGGTGAAATATTCTATCCCAGCAGAAAATCTTCCAGTGAGTCAAATATCTGCTAGTGAGTTGACAAAAAAAATCTAGAGCTCTTTCCGTCAGCACTTGGAAATATTCTTATTGTTACTGTTGGATGACCCCTGGTTTGTAGACACCGCCTATAGGGCAATGGTTGGGTTCAGAATTACAGAGTGAGAGGCATAAGCATCAAAGCACAGAGAAACATATTAATAAAAGCCTCTGAGAAATAAAAATGAGATCCCAAATCCACCAACTGACTGAACAGAACCCCTCTTGGCCAAGGGGACCTCAGAGTAATCTTGAAAATTGAGTTCTCAGTCATGACAGTATGTGAGGTCAGACATTCCTTGTAATATCCCCTCCCTTGATAATCACCATTAAGCTTTCTTCCCTAAGGACCAAACAGAAACCAGCCCTTTACAGAGACTCTACCACTGATATCAACTAACCAGTAATGACTGCCCCTCCCTTTTGTGGTTTTAACAAAACAGCTGACCAGCATTTCTTCCTGATAAGAGACCACAGACTATGAAGTGGTTCTGGCCAGTCTATGGAGGGTGTACATTAGGGGCTTTTGTGTCCTGTGCTTCACATTTGTCATCAGAGGGCTGAAAACACCACCCTCGGGTCACGCTAACAAGGCTGTATTTTGAACATGGGTCCCCTGGAGAATCATGAAGCTCAGTTGTGAATGTGTGTGTTTCTCCTTTTAAAAATATTTATGACTCCTCTTATAGCTCACTAAATATGTAAATGTGGCCACCTCAGCACACACTCCTGTTCCCTTTTCTCCTCCCTTGAAGAGTCTGTTTTTGGCTCCTGGCCAGAGGCTATGCTTCCCAGTCTGTCAGAATGGCCACCATGCAGGTTGCAACGCTTTATGAGAAATAAAGCTCTTGTTTCCACATTTATGAACCTCATCATTCTTCAGTTGACATCTCCAATTCCATGGGAGTCATTTAACTTATCAGAGTTCTTTTCTCTTTTGGAAATTGAAAGGGTGGACTCAGCACCAAATAAGGTTCCTCTGGGCTCTAATATCTTTGGCTAGAGGAGATGACAGAGTTTTTTTTTTTTGTAAAAGGAGCTATTTATTTGCTCTTCCATCACAGCTGTCCAAGGTTATTTGAATCATAGCCATCTTGTGAGAAGACTTCTGCCACATTAAGCCATTTTGGAATCATCTTCAGCCTCGTTAACGACGTAGCAGGGTTAGTTTGGTCACTACCGACCTCCCTTTTTATCAAACTTGCTGTTGAATTGAATCTCTAATTTGGATGAAGTCGGGTGTCTCATCCCCTGGAGTTTAATTACACACACATTCATTGATTCTGGGCCTGCTCCCTCAGGTCAAGAGCACACAACCACCTCACAGCTTTCTGCAAAGAGGACATGTTGTATAAGTCTATGCTTGCAGTCTTTGGAGGAAATGATGAAGGTTGGAGAAAGGAAGCAAATAAATACATTTTTTCTAAGTCAATTCAAACTAGAATAAGTCACTGCCACACATCATCTGCCCCCTCCTCCCCAGGGTCCCCCTTCCCCTGGAGCCTCCATCAGTAAATGAATTTAACCTAATTTGCTGCTCTCTAGGGAGAATGCATTCAACCACAAGCTTCCCAAGGTGCTTCCGTTCCTGGTACAAAAAGCTGAAAATGTCATCGCATTTGCAAATGAACAGAAACCTCCCACTCAAAGAGCATCAGTGCCACTGTGGCTCACTGAAGCAGCTGGCAGGAGCCTTCCTCTCACTGCCATTGCTTTGTGGTTAGAATAATACACACATAGTCTTTTCATCTAATGACGTTGGCAAGTTTAACTTTCTTTGCAAAAGTAACAATGCTTTGCCTTCAACCAGCAGACTGTTCTCTCTTTCTTTGGAAAGGGCAGAATGGTTTCTATTTACTCCTGATAGGGCCAGTCACCTGCAACCTCTAGACATGTCTTCACTTCAGCTTTACCCCATGCTGTATAAACTCCATAGGTCACAGTGGCTTTGATATTCTTCAGCTATGAAAGTCTGAATTCTAGATTGAGATGCTGGCCCCATCAAGCACATCTTTCTTGGCGTTTTTTATTTGTCAAGGAGGGATGGGCTCAAAGCAGAATACTTTACACCCCTCATGATTTGCAATGACCTAGCTTCAATCTTTTCTCAGATTTAATATTTTCTGAGTAAGGGGCCCTGAACTCTGGCAAGAGGTGGCTTCTGGGTAAAGGCAGTACAGGAAATCTCCAATTTACTGGGGCTCTTTCCATGATTTTTGAAGCATGAAGGGACCATCATGGTGACTGGTTTACAGCACTGACTAATCCAGACTAACCAGTTCATTTTGTCACAGAGAACTCCCAGAGTGTGGCCAAAAGTGTTCGCTAGAGATTCTACCAGAAACTGCACTTACATTGTATTGCAAGCTTGCCAAATGTACATCCCAGAAAAGGCTAACACTCAGGACAGCTCATTACATGTTTTCATCTATTCTGCAGGAACTAGGACCACGGAAATGAGAAACTCTAGTTATAAACTTTACTGACACTTTAAATACAATAGATACACAAGGCTGGGTTAAGTATTATCCTCCATCTAGCAATGGCAATCTGGTTGGTAATCGTGCACTAACACTAAGGTAGATGTTCTGAGATATATAAGCTATCCTGCTCAGATATAACACATCGATGCCTTTTACATCAAAACTCACTGAATGAGCTGTGTAGAGGCCTGTCTACAAGTGCACTCAGTGAATAAAATTACCCCATGCATTACTCAGCTCAAATTGCCATAATAAAATACCACAGACTGGGTGGTTTAAATTTACACATACTCTGGAGGCTGGCAAGTACAAGATATAGGTACCCGCCAATTTGGTTCCCAGTGAGGGTTCTCTTCCTGGTTTGCAGACAACTGCTCTCTTGCTATGTCCTCAAATGACTGAGAAAGAGACCTCTGGTGGCTCTTTCTTTCTTATAAGGGCACCAGCCCTATCAGATTAGGGTCCCACCCTTATGACCTCCTTTAACATTTATAACCTCCTCAGAGGCCTTATCTTCAAATACCATCACTTTGGGGGTTAGGACTTCAACATATGTATTTGGGAGGGGGAACACATTCAGTCTATAACACCCACAAATAGCCAATTATGGGACATAGGACCTCAGGTGCTCTATCATTGAACCTGTGCCGTAATTATGAAATGAACACTCTTCAGAGGCCTCACTCACAAGTATCTGCCAATTAAGATGTATGTGTGGAGATGCAGGCAATGCTCATTCAGTCACCACCAGGGGCCTACTCTGTTTCATGACCTGTACAAGACAATGGGAAGCTAAATAGGATATTGTTTCTACCCTTAAGTATATCACACCATAAGAGAGTTAGGGGACATATAAAATCAGATCATTACAAACACAAAAAATGGTCTAAGTCTGATGTTAAATGTATACCTACAGTGTTATGAAAATTAACACCTAGGAACATCATCCAGCCTAGTTTATGAGGTGGTGATGAGAAAAAAAGCTTCCTGGAAGAAGTGATCTTTGAGTCTGATATGATAGTTTTTTGTGATATTTGAGAGTCCAGAAAGGAAGTGTTTCAACCTTCCAACTTTTTCTCAACTAGGCAAGTGTTTAGAAGCAAGCAAGGAATGACTTCTTCTTCTCTTCTCAGCCTGATCAAATAATCAGCTGAATTAGGACACCTCAATGTATATCAGGTGGTATATCATATTCTGTTAATATGGTATTACTGCAAATGCCATCCATAACTCAAATTTCACCAAGAAAAGTGATTACTTGGAAGCTTTTATTTTTCCATCTTCACTTTTTAAAAAAAACCACAAACCCAAAAGAAATTAATAAGATAAAAGCATGCAAAGCTTAACTTCATTACACTTTGAAATTAAATTGAACTTGCATGTCCCATAGTCAATTAAAGACACTTTTTTTTCAAACTCTCCTGACAAGGAATTTCCAAAGAGCTTAAGTTGTATTTACTCACTTTGTGGAGTTTTGAAAACTGGCTCCGACAGAAAAAAAATATGAACAATACCACGGATATGTTTTTAACTTTTTAAGCTATCCCATGAGAGACCAGATATAATCGAGTTAGGAAAGACACAATTAGCTGGGCAAGGACATTTTCCTGAAGTAAAAATAAACTCATTAAAGGTTAAGCTCTGGGCAGCATCATTAAGACCAAGGCAAGGAACAGAGCTGTGATACTAAATATTACCACTATTATAATCTCATTTAAGACGTGGCACCCAAGGAATTGGGTTAGGCTCAGAATCCTCCTTCACGGGCCTGCAAGAGTGTATTTCATTTCATCTCACTGAGCCTACCCTATGGGCAAGAGTGGTTCACAGAATTAGGACTATGCTGGAAAAGATAATTATTTTCTACCTACTCTGGTGTTGTGTTTTGTCTTTAATTTTGTTTTTTAAAATTTTGTTGTTACCCCCAGTCTCTGAATTTAACTATTAAATAAACTGAAGTAATATTCTTTCACGACCTCCTCCCTTTCCTACATTCCTCAGCAACCCTGAATGAGGCTCTATCACTAAATTTGGGGCCACATACAATCACTGTTTTAAATAGAAGCCTGGATCCCCTTCAGCCACTGCAATCACTCACTGGTAAAACATACCCAGCATGACAATTCAGTGGCCTCCATGTGCAGATTATCCTAGGGTTAGTAACGAAGTGGCCAATGCCAGCAGTTAGAGTTATTGCTGTCTCTATCATCAAAGAACAAGTGTAATAGAGCAGTCTTTAGTTTCCGAGATCCTTAAACATCAGGTGGATTGTTTTTTGTTGGTGCGTGTGTGTGTGTGTGTTGTGTGTGTGTGTGTGTGTGTGTGTGTGTGTGTGTGTATTTCATACATCTCTTTCTCCCACAAACCTTTTCTTTTTCTTTTTAATTTTAGATTCAGAGGGTACATATGCAGGTTTGTTACATGGGTATATTGTGTGATGCTGAGGTTTGGGCTTCTAATGATCCTGTCACCCAAGTAATGAACATAATACCAGATAGGTAGTTTTTAAACACTTGTCCCCCTCCTCTGTTTTGTAATTCTCAGTGTTTATTGTTGCCATCTTTGTGTCTGTACCTATCCAATGTGTACCTCCCACTTATAAGTGAGAATATGTGATGCCTGAAAACCTTTCCTAACCATGCCAAGAGAGTTTGTGCCCCTATTTAACTACTGAGATTGTGTTGCAGTTCTCCTAACACCTAATAATACAGACCTGTTTGCAGGTCTCCTACCATTATCACATGACAAGCTTCTTGAAGACAGCTTAGAAACCTATATATTCTTAGCTCCTTGCAAGTGCATAACACTAGAGTAACTGCTCACCAAATATTTACTGATGACTAGATGGACGGATAAATGGCCATCTGAGCCATTGGATCTGAGCTATTACTTGCCAAAATATTTAACGGGTGAGAAAAGTAGGGACTCTCTCAATTCTGTTTAGTGCAGTAACTTTTGTGGGAAGAATAGCCCTGCATGAGGCCCTCCTACTGCTCCTGATGTTGTCCATGTGCAGGCTGGGGAAGCCAGGGTGGAGATCATTCAAAAAAAGGAATATTGGGGTTATAATTTTGGAGGCTTTGAATGTCATCCTAAGGGTGTGGCCTTAATTCCATGGTGAAGGTTTGGAATAAGCAAGTGACACGATTAGATATATACTCCTTGGGACCTACTTTGGTAGCAATGGAAGAAGGCCAGGCCAAAAGCAGACATGCCTAACAGGCAACTTCTTAATTTTCTAAGAGAAACACTAAGAAGGCTTCAGTGTGGGTGAAAAGAAGGGCATGGGATTGGGAACTATTTTAGAGGTAAATGCATCAGATCATCATAGCAAAAATTCATCTAGAAAAATTTTCAAATGTCTCCCATATGGGTTGTAAAGAAAAAGGTAGAGATGAGAAAAAGGACAGAGCTTAAAATACAAGTAGGGACTTATGTCTAGTAGAGTAAGTATCCAGAACCCTGGATTGTGGTACATAAATATATATTTTCTCAGATGATACTCATGGGTAGCCTCCATCATTTTTTCAAAGGGCCTTGGAGAAATAAACTGCTTCTATTAGTAATGCCCACAGCAGGCCAATCAATCAGTACTCAGACAGTACCTGGAATTTTCTAAAAAGCTTATGCTGCTTTCCAGATTGAAATAGGGTCCGCTTTGTTTTTGCACTTTATTGCATTTCCCAATAAAATTCTGTCTAGTCACTGGAAACCATACATATATATATATATGTACCATATATATATATGTACCATATATATATATATGGTACATATATATATAGGTACATATATACGTGTGTGTGTGTGTGTGTGTGTGTGTGTGTGTGTGTGTATATATATATATATATATATATATAATATCACTGCTGAAGAGTTGAATCTATACGATTAGGGTAAAAAAAAAGTTGCCTTGTGACCTTAAATAGAAACAATAGTAGAATCAAAATCAGGTGTCCTAAAGGTCTCTGCCAAAGTAATATGTCAGTCAATAAAAGAGAAATCGGGCAGGTTGGAGAGGTATGGGTCGTTACTTATTATCAAAGACATGACTCAACTGTGGGTTAGTGCTTTCCAAAACTGGGCATTATAGTGCAAAATATTCCAGAGTATAAACTGTAGTGTACTCAAGTAGTATTTTCTCAGGCTTCTGAGTGCTGATAAGTATTCAGTAAATGCTCAACTTCAGGACTCAGTCCAGGTACATTGCCTAGTGGCAATGCCTCCAAGCCGCGCTAGGATTTGAAAAGAACTAAGCCAAATGCCAAAAAAAAAAAAAAAGAATGTAGACAGGGACACTGCTAGGGTAATAGTAGTAATAATAAAATGGTTTTAATCAGATGGACTGATCTTTCAGGTCTAGGAAATAGGGTGGGGGAAGTTCAGGGGAAAGATAAATTCAGGGTCGGTTTCATAAATCAGGCTATGCATCTAAAGTAAGAGAGAAAGGTTAATGCAGAACATGACCAGAAGGACTTTGGTGAGAATCAGGTTCTGGTCACCTGATCAAAGTAGAGTGCAAGACTTCCTTTCCAACGGGCACCAGAGATTTGAGGCCGTAGAAATATGGGAGAGAACAGGGAATGGACTAAGTGAGTAAGTCAACCACATCTACTCCTTGTCCAGTCTCTTATGTCACTGTTCTGCGGTTATACTAGTAGAGCATTTCCTCATCTGGGAAGTCTGCAACTTAAAGTCTGTGGGAAATGTTCAGTTTATTCTAACAAGGTAATTCATACAGAAAAGGGTCAAGAAAACTGGGAACTATCATTCAAAAGCCTCAGACCTCTGCTCTGGGTATAGAACAGTAGACTATTACAAACTCTTCTGGTTTGCACAGAAGAAAAATGTTGACAAATTGCCCAGCTGCATTTTCTGTGTTATAAAATTGAAGTAGGGGGAGGCAGTCAGCAGATGCTGGCTATACATTGCACTTAGCCTGGGATGGGGTCAGGACAGCACGGACAGACACTGTTTAATGGAAAGACCTATGTCACAATGCACTGAATTTCTCACAGCAAGGCTGTAAATGACATCAAAATACAGACATCTAAGCTGAGACCCTTAGCATCATCCTCAAAGCACAAAATGTTCACGGAGGGAAACCCTGGAATCTCCCCCTGAAAACCTGTTAATGTGGCTGAGAGCTCAAAACTGAATCATTGAAAACAGTATATTTTATGGACATAGAGAAAGATGCTGCTTTTCTCCTGACAATCTTCAAAGAGGGACCAGGTCATGATAAAGCAAAGCTGAAAGTCACTGCAGAGCAGGTCAGCAACCCACAGAGACAATCTTCCCTAAATTGGCACTTTAATGCCTTGGGTTTTAGCATTCTGGCCTCAGATGGAAAACCTGTATGGACTCAGGACTGGAATTAGAAAATTTTAAGGTTAGTTTGTTGGAGGATTTTCTAAGTTATCTATCCAATTCAGTTTCCAGGGAGGTAGTGAAAGGTTACAAAAATAAATAAAAAGACGAAGAAGAAATGCTTTGAAGCCAGAAATGTTTGAATTCAAATCCTGGCTCTACCATTAGCCAGGTGGATAACCTTGGAATTCGACAAATTACATAATGTCCTAGAGGGATGAATTTTCATTTGAGTATGGTTATGATTGCACCCACATCTGTGAGGATGACATGAGATGTTGCCAGTATCATATTTAGCACAGTGCCTGGCATATAGCAGAAAACAGGAAATGCTAACTCTCTTCCCTTTCTCTGTCCAGCTTTCTAATACAGTCAGTCCTACTCATTTAGTTTGTTATCTCTTTCTAGAGAACAAAAGCAAAAGGAAGTTTTGCTGCTAACTGTCTCTATCAAGTTTTTCTACATTGAAGACAAACTGTGTATGTGATTTGTTCTCCTCAAATGAGATATTCAGGTAAGAATACTCTGAAGGCATAGACATCTGGGACTCTCTCCTGAGTAAAGAATTTAAAATATGAGGACAACTCTATCTGTTCAAAAGATATTTTAAAATGTTGTTAGGCACCTACTTTGTGCCAGGCACTGTTCTAGCCACTGAAAACCCATACTTTAGACAACTCTCTGCCCTTGTGAAGCTCATACCCAAGCTGAGGAGAACATGCTGTGCTCAGAAATGTTTATTGCAGCACTATTTGTAAACATAAGGAACTAGTGACAATATTAGTATTTAACAACGGGGAAATGGTTAAGTAAATTACGTACCTCTAATTGCTGGAACATTAAGCAGTGATCAAAATGGTGGTCAGGAAGAGTGGAAAACCGTAAAGACTAATCTCTTACTAAATGAGAAATTAAAGTTCTTATTAAGGTTTGACTCCATCTCTGAGCATCTGAGTTTATAAAGTCTAGTTACAAGCACAATAAATCAATACATCTTAATTATTTTTCTCACCTTATCTCTTGTGTGCCTATAAATATCTAGAGTCAATTAGTCTCTCTCTCTCCCTCTCTAATACACACAAATCATTATTGATTAATCCATCCCATCAGAGTTAAAGGGGTTAGTTGAAATTCTCTTTTACCACTGAACATTTGTGATTCTCTGATTCAACTATCAGGTAGAAGTTCTGAAACTTTTCTCCTCCCTATTCATTCACACTGGTTTAATCATTACCAACCTGTATATCTCGGTGGAACTCAGTTTGTCTGCTATAAGCAGAACCCGTATGATTTCAGACACAAGAAATTGGGACACTACAGGGAAAATGTTAATGTCAAGCAGCTGGCAAGTATTAAAAAATACAAATTATAAATATCTATAGAATATGTGAACTACTCACAAACCTAGTTATATCTTCCCGAGGTATGACTCGAGCCTTGTGAATAAATGCCTAGAATCCAGCTGTTTTTACTTCATATCAGACTGCTTTATATAACCTGATCTGTAGGACTAGCACAATAATAAACCAAAACAAGGGCTAAATGATCACAAAAATGGTTTTCTTTTACCTTTTCCTGTGTTCTACATCCTTTACAATGTGACTTTCAATTCATCTGCTGAAAAGGTATCGTGTATTTCCCCATCCCTTGTATTGGGCTGGCCTTGTAACTTGCTTCAGCCAATGGGATGTGGTAGAAGTGGCAGCGTGCCTGTTCTAAACCAAGGCCAGAAGAGGCTTAAATGCTTCTGCTCTTTCTCTTGGAACTATTCCACTGCCATGTGACTAAGCTCAGGCTAACCTGATAGAGAACAAGTGACATGTGGCCCAGTCTTCCCATTTGCCCTTGTCATCAGCGAGGCCTTATCTGCAGTTGGGCACAGACACATGAGAAAGTCCATCTGAGACCAGAATAACTGCCCAACTAAGCACAGCATAAATTGCTGACTCACATAATAGTGAGTTAAAGAAATGGTGTTTTTAAGCCACTAGGTTTTGAATGGTTTATTATTTAAGGGAAATAGTCACAAGCAGACTAAATTCCAAAATGAGCACTATCCTGAGTACTCCCAGATTCATTTGCCTTGAGTCAAACCAACAGAATTCTTATTGCCCATTCTGTGATTTTTCTCTCCTCATTCCCATCCAATCAGCCCATGTATGAATCATACACTACCTGCTGCAAAACTGAAAGATGTGTTTTTCCCTGGGAAGGCCATCGCTTGCTCTCCTTGGTGCCCTGGAAAGATACATTATTTTGGATAGCTAGTGTAAAGTACAATTTTGCAGATGTATGAGATAGGGAGCTCTCGTGCTTCCCATGTTTGTGGCAAGATAAAGAGATGGATGGAAAAATTTAGTATCAGTGAAACCACAAGCCAGTGATTTCAACAATTTTGACACTTCGAATTCAGGGTTGTTTTTGGTCCAATGTGCTGTTCTAGTTATACCTGTCTACAAAACAACAAATTTAAAGGTATTAAACAAATTCGATCCTCATTTATTATTATCTCATACAGTCTGGGTATTGGGTAGGCTCAGCTAAATGATTCTCACTCAGAGTCTCTCATGAAGTTGCAACTAGACATTAACAGGGACTGGAGTCATCTTGAAGACTGCCTCCCTCACATGTCTGCTGGGTGATGCCGGCTGTCAGCCAGAACACCTATAAAAATGGTTTCTTCATGTAACCTGGGATTCCTCACAGCTGGGTGTGAGATGGTAGTGACTGGGTACCAAAAGCAAGTGTTCTAAGACAGATCTAGGGAGAAGGTGCAGCTCTTTCATTGCCTCACGAGTTATATAGTGACACTTCCACTGTGCCCTACTGGTTGAGGCAGTCACAAAGATATGCCCAAGTCCAGGAAAAAGAGAAATAGACTCTGCCTGTCATATCTATGAATGTGGAAAGGTCACATTTTAAGAGGAGCATGTGGAATAAAATGTATTATTGCAGCCTTCTTTGGGAAATAAAATCTTCCAGATGTACATATAAATAATCGGAAATCATGAAATTCCAGTCATTTTACTTTTATTAACATGCAGCTAGAACCATGCTAGTGAATAACTTAGATATTAGATACTGTGCAGCCATATTCAGGCAGGTCTTAAATATAACTGGATGCTTGAAACTTTATCTGAGTCTTCCTAAAAGTATCTGGGAAGTTAAGGAGAACGTTTTTGTTGGCTGGAAGCCATCCTTCCTCATACAACTAAATGATATTTAATTTAAAATATGAACTTTGCCTTAAATATTAATTAGAACATAAAATTAAAATATTGGCCAGGCGCGGTGGCTCATGCCTGTAATCCCAGCACTTTGGGAGCCCGAGGCGGGTAGATCATGAGGTCAGGAGATCGAGACCATCCTGGCTAACATGGTGAAACCCTGTCTCTACTAAAAATACAAAAAATTAGCCGGGCATAGTGGCGGGCGCCTGTAATCCCAGCTACTCTGGAGGCTGAGGCAGGAGAATGGCATGAACCCGGGAGGCGGTGCTTGCAGTGAGCCGAGATTGTGCCACTGCACTCCAGCCTGGGTGACAGAGTGAGACTCCGTCTCAAAAAAAAAAAAAAAAAAAAGAAATAGGAACAATTTTTATAGTTGTCAGCCTGGAGCAAGAAAACACAATAAACTTGGTCAGCAGATGTTAAGACACAAGTGTAGGGAAAAAGTGAAAATTTTATTTAAAAATATCTCTTAGGCACTTTTAGAAGCCACAAACTACAACAAAGCTATTCCCTCATTTTCTTGCTCTGGTTTCTAACATGTGGTCACTCCATGTCCCTTGCCTCTGGAGAACGAGGTGGTAGCATGAAAGGAAGAATGAATGTCACAAAAGTCTTCCTGGATTTGTTTCGAAAAACCTAACATCCATTCTGAGAGACGGTTAAGAAGGGAGGAAGTTTGTAGTTTTCACAGTTCCCCAAATTGCTTAAACAGAGACAGGAGGTAAAGTGAAGCTTCTCTTATTCACACTAGAGGTTTACCAGGATTAGGAGAAAGAGATAAGAGAAAGAGAAAGGTATGCATAACACCAGGACAAGGGACCTGCATTTGTGTTAAGGCCATAAATTATTAGGAAATTCAGAGTTTAGAGATCAGGAACCAGTATTCTATGCTGCCAGTGCCTGGCGGGGGTGGTGATGAAGGGAAGGGGACACAGTGACCCTCTAGAGGGAAAAGAGTATGATGGGTGTCAGTGTAGGTATCAGGGAAAGGGACACTTGAACAGAAGTTTCCTTGCCCCAAGCCAGACACTGAAGCACCACAAAGTCACACGTGCCTTTGTTCAGGGCAAAGGGCATCTCACAGGCAAATTTATAGTTTTGGGTTTTAAAAATTGTTTCTAAAAAGGTATCATATCGCATATATAATTTTATACTTTTTAAAAAACATTTTGCTTTGGAGATACTTAGGTCATTATATACAGATCTACTCTATTATACCTGTTGCATGTTATTTCACAGTGTATGCATGAACTAGGGTCTATTCTCTTATTAATGGACATCTATTTTTTCCTCAATTTTTCTCTAAAACAATGTAGTAGTGAATGTCCTAGTGTTAACCTCCATGTAAACATGTACATTTATTTCTCTAGGTTAAAAAAAGAAAAGTGAAATCCCTGGGTCATAGGGGAATACACTTTTAAAATATACAATTCAGTTAGGCCTAATTATCCTCTGAAATGAGCATGGCCATTAATATCTTAATCTGAAAAATATGAGGTAAATTATTTCCCCACGTTCTCACCTGTATATTTATTATTTTAAAATATATTTTTTAAAATGAACATGTATTTTAAAAGCAAAAGAAATAGTAGAAAATGTTCAAATATATTCTCCATGATAGCAAGAATATTGCCCGTCTTATTTTTATATAATTAGAACAGTGCCTGGTACATAATAGAAGATATTTAATCGTTATTAGTTGAATGAATGAATGAATGAATGACAAAGGCAAATGGAAGGAGGCATTGAGAAAAACTCTCTGGCATGAAGCATAAGGTAATGCTAGAGGACTTTGAAGCCAGTGTTGAACTGAAAGTAACCATAGCAGCAACACTGAAACTCAGCTCAGCTCCTGGCTAGTTTGACTCAAGTCCCCACACTAACAGCAGAGCAATTTAAGAGGCATGTCCACTTTCAGGTATAAGGACTCTACCCCAGAGTCTACTGTCCTAAACGGAATGTCCATCATTCAATCAGAAATTACAAAACACACAAAAATGCAAGAAAAAATCCCACTCACTGTTAAGAGACAAATTAATTAACAGAATTAGACTGAAAAATGGCTCAATGTTAGAACTCTCAGACAGAGGATTTAAAATAACAATTGACTGATATTTTAAGGCTCTAGTGGAAAAAGTGGGCAACATGCATAAAAGAAGAATTTATAGGAACTATAAGAAAAAGTCAAATGGAAATCTTATAAATAAAAACCACAGTCACTATAATGAGGAAATACTTTGATAAGGTGTCAGTGAACTCAAAAATCAATCAATAGAAACTACTCAAACTAAAACTCAAAGAGAAAAAAAAAGATGGGAGATAATTATTTTTTAAGAATTGGTCATCAAAATGTAGCAACAAGTTTGCCTTATCCTATATCATTTGAATTTTCAAAAAATAAGCTCATTATACAATCTTTAAAATATTTTGAATAGAACTGTTTCATGTGTTATTTGTGAAAATTAGGGAAAAAGCAGTAAAGAAACATTCTGTGAGAAAACCTATCTAATAAACTCAGTATTGAGGTTCTTAGAATATAGAAAAAGAAATGTGGCAATTTGCCAGTTTTCATTATAAAATGGAAAAGAATAAAATTATTCTTTGCCCATTTACAGAAGAATTTATTGTATTGAAAGGGATTTTTGTAAACGGTAAACTAAGCACTGTAATATAAGCTAGTAATTTTCCAGAAGATACTTCACCCAAAAGCATCAGAATGGACGGAACATGTATCTTTGGTAAAAGTAGCCTGTGGTTTTTCTAATGATACAGAACATCTCTTTGGAGAGTGTAGACATATATGCTTGTGTAAGTGCGTGCATGTGTGCGGGTACACCTGTGAATATGTTAGTTACATAGCAAAGGGGAACTAAAGTTGCAGGTGGAAATTAGGCTGCTAATCAGCTGAACTTAATATAGGGAGATTATCTTAAATTATCCTGGTGGGTCCAATGTAATCACTAGTTCTAAAAAGTAGAAGAGAGAAGCTGAAGAGTAGGTCAGAGTGATGTGATATGAGAACAACCCAACCCATCATTACTGGTTTAAGGATGAGGCAATAGAGTTATAAACCAAGACATGCAGGTGACCTCTAAGAAATGGAAAAGATGAGAAGATGAATTCTCCCTTAGATCCTCCAGAGGGAACACAGCTCTGTTAACACCTTGATTTTAGCCAGTGAGATCTGTCAGACTTAAAACACACAGAATGTAAGATAATAAATTTGTGTTGCTTCAAGCCACTGAATTTGCAGTAATTTGTTATAACAAGCAAGAGAAAGTGAATACCCCTTCCCGCTTTATACACAAAGCTTTAATAAATACCCAGAAAAAGTGAGGTCAAAATATGAAGGCTCAAACACAACTGTGTGGTAATAAATATTAGATAAGATTGACAATTGAAATACACCTGGGTTAATGAAAACCAGTGGAATATATGCTAATAGGAAATCAAATGTGGACAAACAAATCATAAGCTTCAATGTTTATTTAATATGAATGAGAAAAGGTAATATCACCTGATAGGTTATTGTAGAGATTTGCAAATGTAACACAAAAAGGTAATAAATATTTCCAAGGGGACCAGGCTAAAAAAGCTGACAGTATTTCTTAAGGGTCATCAATTATCTGAAGTAGGTTTAAGTAATCAGGATATTAGACTTTATCCTTGCAATAGACAAAAATCTTCTTTTGCAATACACAAGAAAAAGAATTGAAAAGGAGTCATGGAAAGGAAGAAAAGAGTGGAAGGAAGAGAATAAGGAGGTAGAAAAGGAAGAGAAGAATCAAGAAGAGGAGGACGAGGAGGAGGAGAAAGAAGTAGAGAACTCATAAACATATAATGATATTAATGCTTTAAATGTGAAACCTGGAACCATAAAGCTTCCAAAAGAAAATGTAGGGGAAAGGCTTCTTGACATTGGTCTTGGCAATAATGTTTTAGATATGACACTAAAAGCACAGGCAATAAAAGTAATAAACAAGTTTATGCCAAAATGAAAAGCTTCTGCACAGCATAGGAAACAATCAGCAAAATGAAGAGGTAGCCTCTGAAATGGGAGAATATTTTTGTCTGTCATATATCTGATAAATGGTTAATATAAAAAATATACAAGGAACTGCTACAACTCAATAGCATACACACAAATAGAAAACAAAATTCCCAAATAACCTGATTGTAAAATGGCAAAGGATCCGAATAGACATTTCTCCCAAGAAAATATAAACATGAGGGAAACGCAAATCAAAACCACAAAGAGATACCACCTCACACCTGTTAGGAAGGCAATCATAGATTAAAAAAAGGTAAGTGTTAGTTAAGTGTTAGTGAGGATTTGGCAGAAAGGGAACCCTTGTACACTGTTGGTGGGAGTATAAATTGATACAACCATTATGGAAAACAGCATGGAGAGTTCTAACAAATTAAAAATAGATTTACCACCTGATCCAGCAAACCCACTTCTGGGTATACATCCAAAAGAATTGAAATTCGGATCTGGAAGAAATATCTGCACTGCCTTGTTCATTGCAGCATTGTTCACAGTAGCCAAGATATGTAAACAACCTAAACATTCATGGATAGATGAGTGGATAAAGAAAATGTGGTGTATACATACAATAGAAGATTATTCGGCCTTAAAAAAGAAGGAAATCATGCCATTTGTGACAACCTTGATAGACCCGAATAGCATTATGCTGGGTGAAATAAGCCAGAAATAGAAAGATACTGTATGATCTCACTTATATATGGAACCTAAAATAGTCAAACTCATAGAGCAGAGAGTAGAATGGTGGTTACCAGGAAAGGAGAAAATGGAAAAGTGATGATTAGAGGGTACAAAGTTTTAGTTACACAAGATAAATAAGCTCTGAAGATCTATTATACAGTATAATGCTTATAGCTAACAATACTGTATTATATACTTGAAGTGTGTACAATAAGAGGGTAGATCTTATGTTGAGTGTTCTTACCACACACATACACATATTAACAATTTTAATAATAAAGGAGGTGGGAGAAAACTTTAGGAGATGATGCATATATTTATGGTCTTGATGATAGTGATGGTTCTATGGGTATATACTTCTCAAACTCATGGAATTGTATACTTTAAATATGTGCAGCTTTTTATATGTAAATTGTATCTCAGTAGAGTGGTTTAAAAAATATATATATATAAAGATGTTTTCCTATCTGGAAATAATGTAAATATGTTGAGTTGGGACATTAGAGCATGGTAAGAGAAATGAAAGAAGGACAACTCAGTGAATGGCTTTGCATCCAGCAGAAAAGTCACCTAGTACGAACTGAAGCCTCTACTATGTATTCAAAGTACCTTCCATGGGAGTTCACCCTTCCACATTTTCCTTCTGTCCCAACCCTGCCTCTAAGTCTCTCTCTGAGAATATTATTCAAATTAGTCCTTATATAAAAGTTCTTAGTCCTCTGAGTGTCCCAGCGGGAGGGCATTATGTAGATTTTCTCAAGTTAACAAATAGTATAGTTAATCAGGATGAAACATTTCAAAATAAAGAGTACATCAATACTTAGGAAGCATGGATATTGTGTCAGGCACTGTGTTAAGGAGTTGAAATATTAAGTGCATCATCTCACTTAACCTCTTCATCTTCATGTGATAGCTATAAATATCCTGGTTAGGAAACAGTCTCAAAGAGTTAAGCATCTTGCTCAAGGTCACACAGCTAACAACTGGCAAAAGAAAGAACACTACTTTTCAGAGAAGCACTATTGCAGGGTATTGCTTGATATTTAAGTATAGGAGAGTGCGCCGTCCATGAAGGAGGGCTTGGAAATCAATAGTCCTCACTAGAAATTTTAGTGTGCTGCCTGCCTGTCTTCAGGTCCATAAAGAACAAATTAGAGAATTTTACCCTATACCCTAACTTTTAGTCAAAATCATCCAGGATTGCAATTAGGATGCAGTCTTTATGGCTCCCCAAGAAGGAATAGAGAAGGTGGAAATAAGTTGGTAAAATTGGAAGAAAAAAAAAAAAAACAGGAAGCATTTACATAAAAACAACTCTTTTAAAGAATCAATAAAGTTACAGACATTAAGGTGAAAGCAAACTAAAGAGATTGAACTTGGAGAGTGGAGGGCAGGTACAAAATGAATGCTCAGGAAGTGGAAAAAGTCAAAGACAAATATTTAGCACAGTATGATGCCAAGAAAGGTGAATATCCAGTTAAGGTAGGAACCAGGGCTGAGGGGCAAAAACAAAGATATTGGAGCCTACTGGTTGTCAATTAGCTCAAAGCACACTTCCCACCTCTTCAAATAAAAACAAAAGAATCTGAGCTTTTCAGAGCTCTGCCTTGAGACCAACAGCCCTAGGGCTAAATATCAAATATCACATGCAAATGTTGTGTGCCTGAGAGCATGCACAACCATTTACTCATTCCATTTCATAACACATATTGAGCATTTACTGTGTTCCAAGCACTGTTAGCAACACAGATGACTTACAAGAGAGTAAGTTACAGCTGAGAGGCCAGTGAAGGCAGACTTGTAGACTGAAACTTTCAGGAGCCATGGAAGAGTTAGTGCTGCAAAATACGTACAGTGTTGTGGGGAGCAGGGAGAATATTTAATGTCTTCACAAAAAGGGAAACATTTGAGTTGGATCTCAAAGGATACATGGAAGTTCACCAGAAAGGAATAAAGGAAAGAATAACATTTTAGGTAGTAATCCTATATCTGGGCATATATACTAAAAAAGTAGTTTTTAAATCAATGAATAAGGATACTTAAAGAAAACTTATTCTGAGGTTAAAATCTGAAAATAATCAGCATGTTCAACCACTAAAGAATAGTTAAGAAAATTGTATTATATTGACTTAATTGTCTTTTCAACTATTTTTGACCTATAAATGGCAATTTCACATCATTTAATAGAATTTCAGTCTAATGAAACTTATTCCGATAAAAATGGGAGAAAATCTGGGAAGACTATGTTGAAATTAAAGAATCCATAAAATAATGGCAGATAAAATACAAAGAACAAAATTTCTATGTGTAATATAAATTGAAGTTTGTAAAATATGTTTCCATAGTGATAAAGATTGAAAAGAAAAGAGGGAAATGAGAGTAGTTGTAATAGAATAGAAGGAGTTAACATATCAAAAATCCATTCACGTTTTTTAAATATATATATAGTATGTATATACAAACGTATATATGTATGTGTGTATACATACAATATAGAAAAATACATATTTTAAAAATATATTTTATTTATATGTATTTATTTAAAATATATATTTAAAATATATTTTTTCTATATTGTATGTATGTATACACACATATGCATACATACACACATTTAAAATATGAACCAAGATGATATTAAGTTACATTCAAAATCTTTTAAAAGTAGCTTATCTAAAACATTCCATTTTATCTAAGTCTGAGAGAAACAGGTTAACCATTTTTTCAGTGGAAAAATAAGCTCATTGATTTCATTTTTAAATAGAAATATCAAATGGCAGCCAGCTGAAGGAGTAATTTGTGTGCTATGAAGCATTGGGTTCTGGGAAGGAGAAGTCCCAGAACACTTATTTATTCCTGCTGCTGTCACAGTATTTGAGTCCAAGATCCAATATGCTTAATTATACCAGACATGATTTTGAAATTCTTGTGTTGAAGATTTGGGGGATACCTAGTTTTTCTGTATCTTGGGTCTCTGTGTCTTTGACAAGAGGTTCAGAATGTGTTACCTCTTCTGGACTGATTTCTATCTGACTGACACACGGCAAGGGTCTAGGTAAAGGCATCAATTTTATATGGTATAGGATCCAGTAGAGATTTGCCATGTTCACATATTCAGAACTATATTATAACAGACTGCTGAGTGTAACATAGGCACCTATATACATGGGGGCATCTAAGGGTATCTGCTAGAGTTGTATCAGTTAGGACAACTTAGGTAATTCTCCAATAACAAACAGCTCCCCAGTCTCAGAGGCTTAAAATGACAAGAGTATACTCCTTGTTCTTGTTACATGGACAGTAGAGCTTGGCATAAGAGTTTCTCTTCATTGTAGCAACTCAAGAAATAAGGCTAACAGAGCAGCCACTATCTCGAACATTGGCAGTCACCATTCTAGAGAGAAAACAGCACTCTAGAGGGTCTTTCATGGTCTGGAAGTGATTCATTACTCATAACTCACTTGCCAGTCACAAGCCCCTGCCAATCATAAGGGCCCAGGAAATGCGTTCCTACCGTGTGTACAGAAGGGAGAAAACTAGGAATACTTGACAAACATCATTAATCACTACCACAAGACTCTTTCTGTATTGCTTATTTTTAATGGAAGCATAAAATATTGAAATGCAATTTTTTTTTTTTTTTTTTTTTTTTTTTTTTTTTTTTTTTTTTTTTTTTTTGAGACGGAGTCTCGCTCTGTCGCCCAGGCTGGAGTGCAGTGGCGGGATCTCGGCTCACTGCAAGCTCCGCCTCCCGGGTTCACGCCATTCTCCTGCCTCAGCCTCCCAAGTAGCTGGGACTACAGGCGCCCGCCACTACGCCCGGCTAATTTTTTGTATTTTTAGTAGAGACGGGGTTTCACCGTTATAGCCGGGATGGTCTCGATCTCCTGACCTCGTGATCCGCCCGCCTCGGCCTCCCAAAGTGCTGGGATTACAGGCGTGAGCCACCGCGCCCGGCCTGAAATGCAATTTTAAGAGTGCCTTCAAATGCCATCTCAGAGAGATGATCTGCAGGGCCACAGGGCATCAACAATCAAGAAGAGTTCTAAAGGAGGCCAACACCATTTTAAGAGACTGGTTGGTCTGGTGGATAACGGAAGACTGGAAGAGTTAAATACGTATAGTTTAGCTGGGCAGACCCAGTAGGGAGCAATAGAAGGTGGTAAATGTGGATGTGGTAGCAATCTAAAAATATCCATAAGATGTAAAGGATTAGAAGGAAGTATTATTTAGCATGCAAATCAGAAAGAATCACTAGATATTTTAAAGAATGATATGAGGAATTAGGTTCTGAGATCAAAAAATTGGAAAACTGATATTATAAATAAAGTGAAAAAGAAAGCATTCTCAAATACTTTTTACTTGAGAAGATGGGAAAAAAAATTCTTTGGATAAGAATTGAAAATGGGGTTAACTTTAGGGAGACATCTAAGAGCACCTGAAATAAATCTGACCTCTCGCATTCACACACAAGATTTATATTTGCTAGCTAAATTCTAGCGTGAGGGAGCAGGATACAGGCAGATACATCCTCTTGATAACATTTAGAGCAATGGAAGTTTTAGTATGTCATGGAGTACTTTACAAGGACCCTGCCATCTATTCCAGTATGGGAAGATTCCAGAACCTGCCTATATATATATGTAAGTAAGTCCAAGCTTGTGCCACTTGCCACCTGGCAGCCAGTAAGTCGAGAGACAAGGTGTTGGAACAAAGAAGGTGACTTTATTCCAGAGAGCCAGCAAACCAAGAGGATGGTGGACTTATATCCTAAAGAACTATCTGAAAAGACATGACTCTCAAGCTTCTTTTTATACTGGGGAAAGGGGAACAAACAAGGGGTTGCGATCAGGAGGCAACCAGTGACCACAGACATCTGGGTATCAGCAGAGGGGTCCAGAGATTTTGCAGAACTTCTTTGTCTTTGGTTAGTTCACAGTGTTCCTATAAATCTTTAGCATAACATTGCTACTTGTGTGTACACCCTCCTTATATACTCAGGAGTTGGTTTTGGGAAGGGACTATTATCCTTGCTTTAAAGTTGAATTATAAACTAAGTTCTTCCCATAGTTAGCTTGGCCTATGTGCAGGGGTGAGCAAAGGCAGTTAGCTCGTGAGGTTAGAGGCAAGATGGAGTCAGCTGTTAGATTTCTCTGTTACATATAGAATACTTGGAGTATGGAAAAAGATCCTAAAACCCACTGTAATTATAGCTACTTAATTATATGTGCTTCTATGAGCATTTTAAAGACTTTTCCAAGTTTAGGACAATAGGTTTTAATATGTCCAGGGCTAAGACTGATACTCAGATACTGATGAGTTTTTCTCAAACCTTCCATGCTATCATGGGGAGTGTTTCATAGGCAATGGAATTTAGTTTTATATCTTCTTTTTATTGTTGTTACTTTCCTTGACTGTGTTTTCTCCCATCAGAGACTTGCCTGACTCATTTTGAAAAGTTTAAAATGGGAATTTTTGGATGGATTTAACATGAGAAGAGATCAATCATTTACTTTTCCTAGCTTGTTTTTCAAACAGGAAATACGAGCAGTTTTCTTCTCAGATGAAAACTGCAGTTTTCTGAGTTAGATTCGAATCCCCACCACTTTTAGGATTGAAACGGAATCAACTCACTTTAGAACAAGATACAACTAAACTGACCTGAGATCTTCTCATTTCTAACAGTAACTACAAGTAAGAGAAGAGCCAACAAGGACAAAGCAAATGAGCTTAACACCCAGGGATTTTCTCTAGTCACTCAAAGCCAGAGGGAGTGATTTGCATTATGTAATTTTTTACTGACCTCTTTGTCCACACTATTTCCCAGGAAGAAATATACCTTCCTAAATGCCAACTTCTACCCCTACCCTATAATGTCAGCCTACCCCATACCTACACCATGACCCAAGGTCTATGATTATACCGTCTTTTTAAAAATCAACTTTATTGGGGTATATTTTACATACAGTAAACTGCACCCACTTAAAGTGTATATTTTGATGTGTTTTGACAAATGTGTATACTTGTATAGCTACCATCAAAATTAAGACATAGAACAGCTTTAACTTTTCTTCAGGAAGAAGTGTTTCTGCTGTTTTTGAAGACTTACATTTGCCTAATGTGGGCGTAAAGGGCATTTTCAGCACACATCAGCAATGTTGGGAAAGGATGAGGAGGTGCAAATACTTTGGTTCACTACATGTGGAAAGGTCACAAGCACTATGGAAAAAAGAGAAAGCAAAGCAGGGTTGGGGGAAACTGGAGTGTGGGAGTGGGAGTGTAGCCGTGATGTGCAGTTTGCGATATTAAATGAATAGTCAGGGAAGGCTTTATTGCGAAGGTAAGGCTTAAAGGAGAGGAGGGAGTTACCAAGGCTGCTATGAAGGGGTTGGGAGCAGGGAGAGTTCTAGGCAAAGGAAACAACGGAAGGCCCTAAAGCGGAATATATCTGTTATATTCAAGAAACAGCAAGGAAGTCTATGTGGCTCAAATGCAGTAAATGAGGGGTGAATAGTAGGACAGGAGGTCAGAGAAGTTAGCAAGGAGTCAAAACATGTTGGGCCAAGACAGCCATTGGAGGGCTTTGGTGATCCTTGTTTTTCCACCCTGTCCTATGGAGATGTGGATGAAGGAAAGCCTGAGGGAAAAAGAAGAGTGGTAGGTACGTATTAGCCTTGGTCCAAGATGCAAAAAGATAGAGTGGCAAAGGCCAGCAAGGGAAAAATGATTGAAAAGTGCAGGCCAGAACAACACAGAAATTCCTGGAAAGAAGCCAGGGGGCCCACGAAACATAAAATGATGTTACTGATGTTCATGGCAGAAGTTACAGAGAGACGTATTCTCTTGAATGACTGAAAAGGGATACAGAAAAGTCTTGTCCTAACCTTCTTGAATAAGCAACATTTTACCACCTCTCCTAAATGAAAAGAGTATAAATAAAAGAAACACCACCTACTCACATCTGAAAGGTTGCCAACTCTTGTTTTGTAAGAATCTCAGGATCTCTTAAGCAAGGGGCTGCATTTCAGTATTTAAAAAGTGCACCTTGTGGCTTGGTGCAATTTCAACCACTTAGGTCTCATAAGCTTTTGAGCCACAGCTCAATTTTCAAAGGAACACCCTAAATCCGGTTTTTTAAATGGTCATCTGATGAGTCAATCAACAGGTGTAAATTTTTCAATGCCTTACTGTCAGTGTCAAGAAATTGGTTTTTTTTGGGAAAACACAAAACTGCTTTATTAGTTGAGTATATAAAAACACCACAGGATTTATGTTCTTCCCTCAACACATGCTTGGGTAACTCCCATTAGGAGCAGCAGGAGTTGCAACAGCCCATACAGGGAAAAATAGAAGCTTCACAGCGTAAGGCTACAAAATGCAGCAGAGACATCCAGTGGAGTCATCTTAACATTATAGGATCTGCTTGTCTGTGCCTTAGTTTCTCCATGTCACTAATAGGTGTGAATTTTTGTGCTCTTCTGTTCAAAAGGTATAGGATAAAGACTAATTAAAGGCCAATACTCATAGCTGCAAATGCATTGACCTTGTGTAGGTGCCCAGCATTATTTAAATTCTCACTACTCAAAGTGTGGTCCATGGAACAGCAGCATCAACATCAACTGGGAGGCTGTCAAAAATGAAAAACCTTAGACTCTATGCCTAACCTGTTGAATCAGAATCTATATTTTAGCAAGATCTCTATCTTGCATATTAAAGTTTGAGAAACAAGAAGCACAATGTTTTTGTTTAAAACCTGATTGAATCTTTGTGCTAACTCCATGTAGTAGATAATAACATCCCCATTTTAGGAAGTTGTTGAGATTGAATCCTGACATGACCTGCCATAAATTAAGTAAGTGGTAAAACCAGGATTCAGGCTGGGTGTGGTGGCTCATGCCTGTAATCCCAGCACTTTGGGAGGCTGAGGCAGGCAGATCACGAGGTCAAGGGTTTAAGACCAGCCTGGCCGACATGGTGAAACCCCATCTCTACTAAAAATACAAAAATTAGCCAGGTGTACTGGTGGGCACCTGTAAACTCAGCTACTTGGGAGGCTGAGGCAGAAGAATCACTTGAACCCAGGAGATGGAGGTTGCAGTGAGCGAAGATTGTGCCACTGTACTTCAGCCTGGGTGACAGAGCAAGACTCCATCTCAAAACAAAAAAACACAAACAAACCAGGCTTCAGACTCAGGAGGGTATGTGATTCCAAAAGATATACGATTCCAAAAGTATACATCCAGTAATACTTCACTACTCATGATACATGTGATCAAGAGAACAAAACTGAGGGAAGAAATAGAGGAAATCACTCTGCTTTATCTCAACATAATTTTCAAAATAAAAGAGGCCACCATTAGCATGTAAAAGGAAAAGCCATTTGGATGAATAAGAGAACAATTTGATCTCAATATAGGCTAGACTTAGTAGGAGAAAATGTAATTAAGGAGGACAAATAAGTCTTACAGAAGATCACAAACCAAGACCCTTCCCCAGTATGCATTTTACAGTAAAGGGACACCCACATTCACACAGACACACACAGATACACACACACACACACACACACACACACACACGCACAGTTTCCTTAAAACCAAATCCTGCTTGGCATGAATATGTATAATTAGATGTTCCCTAGGAGTGAGAAGTAGTAATTAATTCAGTGTTAAACATCACAATCTATTACTTGAACTCCATAGCAACCACGGTTGCCAACAGAGAGAAAACAAAATTTCGGAGCCTATTTTTAAATAATTACATTGAAATTTTTGAAAATGTGTAAAAGCTGACACTTGCTATTTTTAGGCTAAAACAATAGGCATTAACACAGGAAGTAGAGAAGAATGCCAAGGAATAAAGGCAAAAGGAAATCTCCTCTGAACCAACCTAAACAATGATGTGGAAAGTATGACTTTGACCCTGCCCAAAGCGCAGGGCCCAGCTGCTCCCTCTGGGGAAGAAAGTTGTTCTTTCAGACTAAGAAGAGATATATTAATAATTTCTGGAAGGAATTGACTTTTGGAATCAAACCAAACTACATTTGAGTCCCAGTGTTGTCACTTCATGTGTTTCCTTAGACAAGTTGCTTACGTCCCTGAATCTCAATTCCCTCATTTGTTACAATGGGAAAAATATTAGGTCTATCTCAGAATTTTCCTAAAACAATCCAATATAAAATGCCCAATACAAGGTGTTGTAGATTGGGTTCCCCTGAAAGCAGATTCTGAGTTTAGCATTCAGGATATTTATTGAGGAATGCCCTTCGGACTAACATCTGTGGGAGGAAAGGGAAACAAGCAAGGTTGGGCAGTAGGAGAAGTTGTGCTGTGATGACAGCCCAGTGACAGCCTTGCCTAATCTCTTGGGAAGTTCTGGAGCTATCATGGCCTGACAGAGCTGTCTGACAGTGGGCTGAAATGGCCAGGACATTTATCACACCTTAATCCAACAGCCAATAAATGTGGCTGCTCACAGAAGGACATGATCGTTGGTGAGGGGGCTCTCTGCAGCTGAGGCAGTCCTTGCAGGGGCTGCCAGTTAACCGCATTCTCAGCAGCTGGGCAACAAGTCCTTTGCAGGGGGACCTGAGTGCTGCATTTCTATATGCAACACATACTATGCAAATAATGTTTGCTTTACTTATTTTGCATTTGCAATTATTACAAACATCTCTTTCTAATAGAAGTTCTGGTATCCAGAAAAATCCCATTGTAATGCATATCATAACAATTTCTGTTCTTAAAAATAACTTTCAGTATTTTGTTAAGTTCTGATCCCAGAAACACACACTCATCTCTTTTAAATTTCTCAGTATTTCTATGAGGTAGTGAGTATTCATCTCCACTGTACAGTTGAAGAAACAAGTGCAGAGAGTAACTAGAAATAACCAGTTCTGGTGAGCAGTTGAGGGTGAAGAATGCTATATTGGACAGGTTTTAAATGATACTTCTTGCCACACCATTCCTATGCCTGTCCAACATCAACTCAATCCATCAACAAGTAAACAACAGAGGTCTCAAGGGAACTGTGTTCCCTTTCTTTCCATTTTTTGGAAAGACATATCTTGCCAACTCACTTAACCTTTATGCCAAAATCTTCCCACATTTTACAGGGTAATCAACACATGTCTCATATTTGCCCCAGAAAACTGAAGGAGGAGGAGGAGGTTGGCTTACAGGATCTCCAGAGCCCGTTTCATTTTAAGAATTCTCCACTGATAATCCAACGTTTTCATTGATAAAGAGTAATGTATTTTGAGGCAAGCTTAAAATGAAGGCCTAGATAAGTTAGAATTTCTTGGTTGCAAGCAATAGAAACTAGCTTTGGCTAACTTACAGAAAAGGACATTTGTTAGAGAATACTGGGAATTTAGAGAGAATCCACAGAAGGCTGGGGAAATGAGTTTGGCAACTGGACGGACCCCTGAAAGGCTAAGAAACAGGAAGCCAGCAATCTCCCTATTGTGAGAATTCTGGACAGATGCTGTCCCTTCTGCTGATGTAGCTGCTGCGATGTGTGACTTCCAAATATTCCTTCCAGCCTTCATTATTCATTCAAGATGAAAGGCCTGGAGAAAATATTTTTTCAGACTGGCTGCCACAGCTATATCAGGAACAGGACAGAAAGGGTGTGGTGTGTTGGTTTCCACTGTAGATGAGAGCACATGGAATTTTTCTCCCATCAAGACTACACAAACTGGGGAGTAATTCCTTTCACAAAAGGAAATGAGGGTGTATTAGAAAGGAGGAACATAGCTGTGCACGACAATGTAAATTTCCACACATATAACTGCAGTTTACTCATTTATTCTTATGCCCACAAATCAAATCATCTTACTTTTTGTAGTCTTATGCTGTCCAAATCCCTTCCTGCTTCCCAGACCTCTGAGTCTCCTCAGGGGTCCTTATGCCTCCCATTTATATTTGATAAACTCCTTTGAACAATAGGAAAACTTGACAAAATCCACCCCGAATAATTCTTCAAGGGACTCTCTATTCCTAATTACCAGTAGCAGTGTAATGTTAAATACCACTTCCAGGAAGTAAGAAGGAATTGGTAAACACTTCAGTAATCTTGGGAGATTGCTTACATATACTCCTAATAACCAAGGTAGAGAAAAAAATTAATTCTTATATTTGGTAAATTCAGTGCAACTGGATTTACAAAACAGAGTAAAAGGCAATAAAGCTAACGCAAGGGCCAACTGTGTACAATAAAATTTTTTTTCAAGTTTGAAACTAAATTACATAGAGTTTTAAATCTTCAGCCTACAACAAAAGCTATTTGGTCATTTTGAGACCAGACTGCTTTTATAGGATTTGAAATTTGGTTCTTTGTCAAAAAATCCCAAAGAGAAATTTGTATGTGTTCCCTAACTCAGTTTCCCTTATTCTCAGATTAGCATAGACTGACTAACCCTAGCCTTCACTCAAATGAACCACTTTCCAAAGTAATGAATGAACAAGGGTTAGAAAATAACCATTTTCTCTTTTTTCTCCTTTCACATTCACCCCAATTTCATATCCATATATAATTCAGATTTCATTAATTTAACAAGGAGAAGATAATCTGATCATAAGTTTGCTATTTTGCTCTCAAAGTTGATGCTCTTGTCTGCTTTGGAAAGTTGTCTAGCTTTTGTACCTATACAGGGAACCAAATGCCCAGACACAATTTTACAGAGTCAGCAGGTACTTAGCTTGCATAAAAGTATATATATCCAGTTCACTGTCTCACTCTTGCAGCCACAGAATAATCCATATACTAGAGACCATTTGGGAAGTATTCCTGTTTCATATATTTAAACTTGTTTGTTTTTTAAGTACTTTCCTTATTTCTCAGCAAGGAGGCAGAAATAAGTGGCAATGTACACTTCTTTCCTTTTTATTTTATTTATTTATTTATTTTCTAGATGGAATCTTGCTCTGTCACCCAGGCTGGAGTGCAGTGGTGCGATCTCGGCTCACCTGCAACCTCTGTCTCCTGGGTTCAAGCGATTCTCTTGCTTCAGCCTCCCAAGTAGCTGGGACTACAGGCATGTGCCACCACACCCAGCTAATTTTTTGTATTTTTTAATAGAGACAGGGTTTCACCGTGTTAGCCAGGCTGGTCTCAATCTCCTGACCTCGTGATCTGCCTGCCTCAGCCTCCCAAAGTGCTGGGATTACAGGCATGAGCCACTGCGCCCGGTCTGTACACTTAACTTCTTATCACAAGTTTTTTTATGCAGGAAAAAGAGGAAGGAAACTAATATTTATTGAAAGTATACTATGTGCCATGCATTGTGCTAGATGCTTCACATACTATTCAGTCCTCATTGCAAGCTTGCAGGTTGTAGTTACAGATTGCTGGGCAATTTTCACCGAATGAATGTGTGGAAAGGTTAGCAAATTGCCCAAGGTCCCCTGTATTTGACACTGACTGCAACGCTCTTGAGCCTTCCATGATAGAAATGCCAGCAAGGCACAAGCTTGGCAATGTCACAGTTCAGAAATCAGCCTCTTGGAGACTGTCACATCCCATCACCACAAGTTGATGGGATTGAAATGTGCCATATGTTCTGAATATAGACAGGGTCAGAACTTTCATTTTCACTGAGTGTGCGGTAATTAAAAACCTTACTGAAAGCAAATGATGGAGGATGAGCTTTAGAACATCTCTGAAGCAACTTCTAATGAATGCAAAAATAACTGGAGTTGCAAAGTCACATTGCAACCACCCTCTCCTTAAAGGTTAGGTATGAAGGCCAAGTTGCCTTCATCAGCCACATTGCAAAATATTTAAAGATAAGCATACGCTACAGAGTTTAAATGACCATATATCAAAACAATATTGTTTTCAGTCTAATATTAAGTGTAGCAAGCCAGATGTTTCTTATCTTATTTAAATGAAAAAAATGGAGCTACTAGTATGCACATTAAAACTTGTAACCAGATTGTAAGATTTGGGTACAACCAATATTTCATAATTCTTTGCAGCTCCTTTAACACCCAGCAAGAGATTACAATGAATTCTTGTTAAATGAATGAATGAATGAGGGCTTGTTTCTTGATTCAGAGGGCAGAATACAGAATCTAACAAAGAATCTTTAACATACTAAACACTCAGGAAATAAAAACACTGATCTAGAAGACAGAAAATCTAAAAGCTAATGAGTTGAACAAGTCTTTTAAACTTTCTAGTCTGTAGTACTTTATATAAATAAAGTGTGAGATACAATTCTTTATATAAATAAAGAAAGGTGTGAGAAGCCCCATCTAACACTGTGATTCCATGATTCTATGAAATCATAACCCAGTTATCCAGATGAAACTTGATCTCTGATATCTTTCTTGTTATCTGATTACACAGGAATTGGGCAAAAATGTGGCTTAAAAAGAAATACAGAACTCAAAGATTAAAAAAGAACTATCCATATCTAACTATCCATGCCCAGCTTACCAGGGGACTCGAGTATATAATCAAGACGGAATTTTTTATGGTACATCAGCAACCTTTGAAAATACAACATGATGAAAATACAGCATGACCTGGTGCCTAGCCTTATCCTTTTATTGAATATGGAGGGAAAGAGGGTGGGACTGCAGAGGTTAAGACCAGTCGGCGGTCTATTGGTCTTTTAATGTTTCTGGGTCTCAGTTTTATTCATATTTAAGCAAGTAAGCCTGTGTAGACTTCTCTCAGAGGAAAATCAGCAAGTTGTATAAATGAAAGCAGATTAAGCATATGAATCCTTTCAGGAGAAAAGTTAGTTGGGGTGTCTGTTGTTTTGTATGAATCTGAACTAGGAAAGTCAGACAAACTAGAGAAGGATAAAAAGTGTCCTTCTGCTTGCTGCTGGAGTACCTTGGATCAGGGGAGTACCTTTGGATGGAGGCTTGGAGTGGACAGCAAATTGGGGAGCAGGAAGCAAAATGGGCTTGATATTCCTGAACATTCCTCATAGCAGCATGGAATCTTGAAGTCTTAAAGGAACTACTCAAGTGGGACCTCTAGTCCTGTTCTCATAAAATGTGATACTTGAACTTCCACCATCAATGGAGTAGAAATGAGTTGATTGATTTTGCAAAAGCAGGACCCTTTGAAGGACCTAAGAGCTTCAGAGCCCGACAAGGGATCTACTGGGAGATTCCTTAGCAGCTTTTGGTGTCATAGTAATAAATTTTCCAAATGAAAGTAATAGTGAGAAACGGGGTCCATATGAGCAGTTTTTGCAGAAAATCCTTACAGTGAGCCTCAGAGCAGCAAATAAAAAAAGTGGTAATTTCTGGCCGGGCGCAGTAGCTCAGGCCTGTAATCCTAGCACTTTGTGGGGCTGAGGTGGGTGGATCATGAGGTCAGGAGTTCAAGACCAGCCTGACCAACATGGTAAAACCCTGTCTCTACTAAAAATACAAAAATTAGCTGGGTGTGGTGTTGTGTCTGTAATTCCAGTTACTCAAGAGGCTGAGGCAGGGGAATCACTTGAACTTGGGAGGCAGAGGTTGCAGTGAGCTGATATCATGCCGCTGCACACTCCAGCCTGGGAAACAGAGCGAGACTCCGTCAAAAAAAAAAAAAAAACATTGGTAACTTCTGTCAGTAACCATCTTTTGATGAAGAACAACACAAATGATTAAAGATACAAACTATTCCACATGAAGACAGTTGGGTAAATAGAAAAAGAGAAGGGTCGAGGATCATTTCAAACTGAAAAAGATTTGAGCCAGAGTTAAAGAAAGTTAGAATGGGCTGAAATGAAATTTATAAAAGCCTTATTTTTTTCTGTACAGATAAGGGCCAGGAGACAAGATCAGGTATTCTAACTCTGTTCAGTGATTTCTGAACATTCTGAGTTGCCTCCCCACCTCAGAGCTTTAATAAGCCTTCTTTTCATCCATTCTCTCATACCACACAGGTCAGAATAAAAGGAAAACAGCAAGACAGAGTTGGAAGTAATTTTCCACATTCATAGAAAAATTTCCAAGCAGCGTTTATATTCTATATGCCCTTGGGTCTTTATAGGCCCCCTTTTGGATAAGCTTCCTTATATCAGGTCACTCAGAATTTAGAGGGGTTAAGTAAATGAAGAAATTGATGTCACTTGCTCTTTAAGCTAACATTCTTTCCTAAACCTCATCATAAACATTGTCTTCCTTCAATAGGACCATTTGTTGAGCTCTTCAGAGCACCCCTCACCCTGTAAATGTAGACACATAGATGTACTGTATATTCTAAAACATCAGGACTTCTGGATGTCTTTTTCTTTTTTCTTTTTTTGTTTTTTGAAACAGAGTCTCACTGTGTCACCCAGGCTGGAGTGCAGTAGTGCAGTTTGGCTCACTGCATCCCCTCCACCCACCAGACTCAAGCAATCCACCTCAGCCTCCTCAGTAGCTGGGACCACAGGTGCTTGCCACCATGCCTGGTTAATTAAAAAAAAAATTTTCTTTGTAAAGATGGGGTCTCACTATATTGCCCAGGCTGCTCTCAAACTCCTAGGCTCAAGCAATCCTCCTGCCTCAGCCTGTCAAAATGTTGAGAGTACAGGCATGAGCCCCTGGGCCTGACCAGGATGTCTTTTTCTTAGTCATCAGAATCCAATGAGCTCTGTGTCTTCACAGACAGCCCAAGTTGTTTTTTTGTTTGTTTGTTTGTTCGCTTTTTCTCGCTGTTAATTCCCTATCTTCCCTATTCTTTGGAGATTGCTCTATTTTGAAGTTCTTACGTGTATTATAGCTCTTCTTCAAAGGAACAAATTTGAATTACCCTCAGAAATCCTCTTATAGGATTCAGAAAAGATGCATTTAAAACTTCAGTCTCAGGTCAGGCACAGTGGCTTATGTCTGTAATACCAACATTTTGGTAGGCTGAGGTGAGAGGATCACTTGAAGCCAAGAGTTTGAGACTAACCTGGGCAATATAGCAAGACCCCATTTCTACTAAAAATAATTTTTTAAAATTAGCCAGGTGTGGTGGTGGACACCTGTACTGCTAGCCACTTGGGAGCCTGAGGTGAGAGGATCACTTGAGCCCAGGAATTTGAGGTTGCAGTGAGCTTCTGTGATTGCATCACTGCACTCCATCCTGGGTGACAGTAAGACCTGACTCTAAAAACAAAACAAAACAAAAAAAAACAAAACAAAACAACTTCAGTCTCAGAGACAGGTACTATTTGAGAGAAGAATAATGCCTCAGAGGATTATCACTTTAAATAAAACACCATTAAGCCCTTTCAGCCCAGTTCTCAATTGCTTTTATGCCCAACCAAAGACACCAAATAATCTAAAATGTGTTCTGGTATGAAATCAGACTTTGCATTGTAAAAATGAGCCATTTATTCCAAAGTTTCTTTAGCCTTGCCAGTAATGAAAAGCTGCCTCACTGCACACATGACTTTAATGTACATCTATTCAGGAGTGAAGCAAGACTGTGGTAAACTAGGTAGACATGGTAATTCATGGCTACTCATGGGCAGCCAGTCTCATGGACTCACCTGCAGTGGTAGCCTCTTGCCTTATTTCACTTGTATTTGTTGAAGAAAAGCAGCAACGGACAAATAAGATATAGCTGCTAGCACAGCAAGATGTGAAACATTTTATGACCTAAACACAATAACCCATAATGCAAAAAACCTGCAAAATAGAGCAGAGTGAATCAAATTCACTAGAGAATTCCTTTATTTTTACCACAATGGCTGTTATGCTTTAGAATACTTACTTCCAATCTTGGCCCTTAATTATATCATAAGAAAAGGTCAACACCTTTGGGTGTTGGGATGGAAATGTAGGAAAGTATGCTTTTTAAGTTGAATTTGTAATAGAAACAAATGAAAAACTAATAAGAAAAAAATGAGAGAATTAAACATGGAGCAGATCCAGATGGGGCAAGACATAAATATAGAGCAGTTTCAAAGCAAACCTTGCAAGATACCAGTCTGGTACCTTGTATGATTTTCCTAGGCTGAGGACCTGACAGATTCTTAAAAAATACCTTGTGACATGCATTATGCTCTTCACAAAGAGCATATCTGAGCTCTTCACGAGGTTCCTGCAAAGAGCTCATATTTCAATGAGGGAGAAAGAAACAGAAGAAACAATTTAAAATACCCTAATGTGATAAGTCATATATATGGCAGTAGCATCCCTATTGTCTAGAAAAAGCCACTATAACATTGTATTGCTTAGAGTCTAAATTTATTTAATGTAATTTTCTGATTGCTCAATACTTAAATTTTATTCCCCTCACTGCTCTTTTTTCATTGAGAGTCTAATTTACCTATAATAAAAGGCACAGATTTTAAGAGCACAGTTCAATGAGTTTTGGCAAATGTATATACTCATCTAATCAATACTATAATCAAGATATAGAATATTTTCATCAACCAAGAAAGTGTCTCCCTAATTTATAACACCTTAGCTTAGTTTTGGTTATTTTTGGTTCATGTAAATAGAATCATACAGTATGTACCTTTTAATATTTGACTCCCATCAGTCAAAAAATTGTCTACAAAATTAATCCATGCTATTATAAGCATTGGATTTTTTCTTTTTATTGCTGAGTGTTGCCCCGTTGTATGAATATACCACCATTTGTCCATCCATTCTCAAGTGGAATGCAATTTAAATTATTTCTGGTTTGAGCTGCTGCAAAGAAAGTTGCTCTGAACAATGTTGTGTAAGTCATTGGGTGGTTATATTTCTTTCTCTTGGATGAATATTTAGAAGGGGAACTGTTGAGTTCACACATTGTATTCTTGAACTCTTATTTTGACTTATTTCTTGATGATCATAGCCACTTGGGAGCCTGAGGTGAGAGGATCACTTGAGCCCAGGAATTTGAGGCTGCAGTGAGCTTCTGTGATTGCATCACTGCCCTCCATCCTGGGTGACAGTAAGACCTGACTCTAAAAACAAAACAAAACAAAAAAACAAAACAACTTCAGTCTCAGAGACAGGTACTATTTGAGAGAAGAATCTTTGAACACTGTATTAGTCTGTTTTCATACTGCTGATAAAGACATACCTGAGACTGGGCAATTTACAAAAGAAAGAGGTTTATTGGACTTAAGGTTCCACATAGCAGGGGAGGCCGCACAATCGTGATGGAAGGTGAGGAGGAGCAAGTCACGTCTTACATGGATGGCAGCAGGCAAAGAGAGAGCTTGTGCAGGGAAACTCCTGTTTTTAAAACCATCAGATCTTGTGAGACTCATTCACTATCACAAGAATGGAAAGGCCTTCCCCCATAACTCAATCACCTCCCATCGAGTTCCTCCCATGACATGTGGGAATACTGGGAGATACAATTCAGGATGACATTTGGGTGGGGACACAGCAAACCACTTCAAATACTTTTGCTGAAGTTTGGTTAATGGTATGTTTCTTGAGAAATGGTGTATTTTTTGAGAACTTATATAGAATATCTTTGTTTTCTATGTACACAAATAATATACATTTGAAACCCATCTCTTTCTTCCTCATTCACTAGTAATGTCACAGCTCTAAACATACCTTATCATCATTCACCTTGAGGTAGGGACAGTATCTTTATACCATTATGATCCCAGTGCCTGGCACATGGCCGAAGGTTAGTAAATACTTGTCAAATAAAATGTGTGCCTCTGCTGAATCACCCAAACTGATATTTCATTGGTGCAATTTAGTTACTATCTTTTATCTGCAACCCAATCTCATCAGCATATGATTACTTAAAAAAACAACAAATCAAGGAGCAAAGACCCCAGTGGGACACTGCTTAACAAATGTTGATGATACTAAGCTAGAATAAATCAGAAGTGACAACTCTTCACAAGAGGATGGGGAAACATTGGTTGGATTAAGCATCATTTGTTTTTGAGATACCTTCATACACATCACTGTTCATATTATACTTCATACACATCAGGACTGTTTACTAGCAGAACACCGAGTTGCATTTCAATTAAGTCATTAGTGATGGGTTTTAGAGATGAAAATTAACAAGATCCTATGTTTATACAAATACACACATACACAAACACCTTCAAAAGTCAACACTATGGAAGATTCTAGCAAGAAGTGGTGGTCATAATTCGGATCTACCTGGTCATAGAGGCAAAGCCCACACACTTTACATATTTTTCTTCTTATATTAACCTTTTTGAGCTTAGAAGATTGCATTAAAATCTGGATGCCCAACAGCCAAATACCTAGTGTGAATTTATCCCTGTGCTACAGTGACAGTGATTCACCCTCCAATGCTCCATCCTGCACTGTCCTCTTGTTCTTACACACTCCATATCCAATTCATCCAGAAATTGTTTATCTATAAAATATATCCAGAATATGATGACTTTTCTCCACCTCCACCTTGGTCCAAGTTACTCTCATCTCTTGCCTGTATTATTATAATGTCCTTCTATCTTGTCCCCCAGCTTTCATTCTTATTTCTCTTCTGGCAACCAGCTGACAGGGTGAATCTTTTAAAAGATAAGATAGATCATTGTTATTCTATCTCCTTTCTGACACTTCACCTCCCACCATTCCACTCCTTTACACCCTACACTACAACTACTCAGGTCTCCTTGATATTTTTTGAACTTCTCCCTTGGGACTGTGCTTGTACTTTCCTCTACCTACTCTTACTGGCGAGAGACTCTTCAAGTCTTTGTCTTAATGTCACCTTCAATGAAGCCTGCTCAGACAACCCTAATCACAACCCTAATCTCAACACTCTCCTGCCTTCCAATCTTTCTTATTTCGAATCAGCTATTACATTCTTTTTACTACTTATTATTATATATTATTTATTGTTTCTCTTTTCCAATTAGTTCTACAAAGGCAAGCTTCATAAAATCATGTCTATTTTGTTCACTGATACATCCCAGGTGTCCAATGCTTAGCATATAGTAGGTACTGAATAAATATTTATTGAAGAAGTCAATAAATTTGCATTAGATGCTTTTGGTACAAGGTACCAGATAAAAGGTAAAAAGGTACAAGGTACAAAGATACAAGGAAAGTCTTCCCTGAGGTTAACTTCAGTATGGAAACTTTAGAAAATATATTTAAATATACTGTTAGAATAATTGTTCTAGGTCAATTTTTGAATTTTACCTGTAGGACTCCAGGTAAAAGTTATTTTACCTAGGAGTGGAGGACTGTTTTTAAACTACAATTTTTCTAGGTAGTTCATCTAGTATATAACATTGCTAAAAATCCTTCAAAATGGAAACAATAAGCTTTTCTTTATGGTGCAAGAAAAACATTGTCATGTTCTGGGATCAATATTTTAAAAATTCAGTTGTCTATGGCACAGAATGAATATTGAGAAATTTTAGAGGAAATTACACATCATATTATTCAAGCATTGACATTATTTTAAGAATTTCTAGCATCACATCTAAAACAAAATATGTGCTTCCCACACATCAGTCTTTCAAATGTCACCATTACTTATATTTAGATGCTGTTTTTTCTTTAAATTGACACATTAAAATTAAATATATCTAAACACTGGAGCTTTGTATTACTACTACTGATGGAAAATCAGTATCACTTAGCACAAATAGATGAGAAAAATCAAAATACAAATTATGAAAACTAAAAAATTTATTAAATTCTAGCAAGGTACTATTGCTGGCCTAATGTTCTGAGTCTGAAGTCTTTCTCTTCTATGTTGAAAATGAAGAACACAAAAATGTTAAAAGATACAGAAACATACGCTGTAATATAAAACTAAAATTTTCTTTTATACATTATCAGGATAAAAAATTTTAAGGGATAACTGTCTCATTTTGAGTTTCAATATATCCAGATTTCATGTTTAACATCATCTCTTGTGTCACTAGTGTCCGAGGGTGGTTAGTGCGGACTTTGTCATTCAATATTTGGATTTCAATGCTGACCTCCTCACTTACTGACTCTGCAGCCTTGAGCTAGGGAAATAATCTCTCTAAGTTGTATTTTCTTTCATCCATAAAATAGAGCAAATAGTGCCGATTTTGCTGATATGAGATATGACAGTTAAATAATATAATGTACAAAGGCACAAACCAGGTGTTTTAAATGTTAATTCCCTTCTTGGTCAAAAAGATTCTTAGCTTTTAGTTTTAATGACCAAAATACTCTCTGTTCATTCAGGTCAACATGAGTTCTCATTGTCAGGGGTTCAAAGTTCTATCTAATGGGCTTATAGCTTATACTTTGTAATTGACATTAATATTAAAATGTCATTATAGCTTTAGAGGCGTTTGTTATAGAAGTCTTATATAGCAAGTATTATAGATTGATTGTAAACTCCCAAAACTCATATGTTGAAATCCTAATCCTTAATTTGATGAAGATGGGAAGGAATGAGGAAAACCTGTCAGATTTATTGGCTTTCACAGGAGAACCATAGAATTAGTGCTCTATTCTTCAAGATAATAGAAGAGTGAACACAAAGGAGAGTCAGAGATCATCTACCTCATGGTTTCAAAAGTGGGGGACCATTGCCTTTCTTTCAAGGACTAGACAGAGTCTCTGCCAGAACTTTGCAGGTGGGACTGCCAGGCAGTCTCCTGGTGACACACTCAGTGGGCCTGAAGGTCAAGACATCAAGCCAGAGAGGGTTACTCTTGAGCCTTAAAATCTCATGGATTTTACCTTGCAGTATGGACTTACTTGGGATCCATTATTCTTTTCTTCTTTCTTATTTCTTCCTTTTGGAATGGAAATGTCTATCCTACATCTGTCCCACTATTGTATTTTGGAAGCACATACCTTGTTGGATTTCACAGATTCACAGATGGAGAGCAATTTGCCTCAGGATAAACTGTACCTTCAGTCTCACCCATATATGATTTAGATGACATTTAAATGAGACTTTAGATTTTAGACTTTAGAGTTGATGCTGGAAAGAGTTGAGACTTTTGTGGCTGTTAGGATGTAATGAATGTATTTTGCATGAGAAGTACACAAATTTTGGAGGACCAGGGGCAGAATGCTATAGACTGACTGCTATAGACTGTTACGCTCAGTCAAAATTTGTATATTGAAATCCTAATCCTCAATGTGATAGTATTAGGAAGTGAGGCCATTGGTAGGTGATTTATGAGAGCAGAGCCCTCATGAGTAGGATCAGTGCCTATAAAAGAGACCCCAGAGCCTTGTATCTATAGCCACGTGAGGACATAGCAAGAAAGTGCTGTCTATGAATCAGGAAGTACACCATCACTAGACACCAAATCTGCTGACACCTTGACCTTAGATTTTCCAGTCCCTAGAACTGTGAGAAATAAGTTTATGTTGTTTATTAGCCACCCAGTTTATAATATTTTGTTATAGCAGCCCAAATAGATTAAGACAGCAAGCCCAGCCAGTTTTGAATGGAGAATAACTGGAAATGATAGGGATAAGTGAGAGTTCTTTGGAAACAGGATAATCTCTCAATATCTACAGCTAAGCATTCCATTTATATCAGAAGAGGGCTGGCCCAAAGTATCATGATATAAAATCTGCTTGGGGCTGGGAGGAGTGATCCATGCCTGTAATCCCAGAACTTTGGGAAGCCCAGGCAGGCGGATCACTTGAGCCCAGGAGTTTGAGACAAGCCTTGGCAGCACAGTGAAACTCCACCTCTACTAAAAAATACAAAAATTAGCTTGGGTGTGGTGGCATGTGCCTGTAGTTCCAGCTACTGGTCAGGGGGCTGAGGCAGGAGAATCACCTGAGCCCAGGAGGTCAAGGCTACAGTGAGCCATGACTGTGCCACTGCACTCAACTCTGGGTGATGGAGCGAAACCTTGTCTCAAAATAATAAAATAAAATCTGCTTGGACTGACTTGCTCAAGGACAATTCCTCAAAACTGGAGAAATTTGCAAAGGTCACCACCAACTCATCAAGAACATCTCACATTTTCAGTTATCTTGTGTATCCCACATTTCATGGTGCTTCCGTCTTCCACTGTGCGAGCCACATATAGTGCTGCAAGAGGAAATTGACATTTGGGGCATATTTCCCCCTTCTGTACAAAAGCCAGAGCAATTGAGGGTGAAGATATGTCTTTATATTTATATAGCTATTAAAGTGGTTAGTTAAAATTATTTGAATAATTCAAAAAATTAAGCAGGAAAGCATGAAATATCTGCAAACTGAGAAAGATACAATCACTTATTTATGGAACACCAATTTTAATTTTATATTTTGAAAAGATGGCAATAAATATTTATATGTTTCTCATTTTTTTAAACACAAAAGCCAGGGAGGAAAATGCAGACTACAGTGAAAGCTTGTGGTTTAAATTCCCTTTTTAGATTTTATAATAACCTTTATCTTCCTGAATTTTCTTCCTTTATTAGTATTATGGAACAGCCAGACTTAATTATCTCCTTTTAATTTGTGTTTCTTATTTCTTTTGTTTGGCTCATACACTTGTTTATTCCTTTAGATGTGGATTGGTGAGGGAGGGGTAGAAGAGTGAACACAAGGAGATTCTATGTCACCTTTTATAAGAGAAGTTAGACTTTATTTTCTTATTTAAATTTCAATAGATGATTTGTTAGGCTTAAAGCTGTGGGTGGTGAAGAAATTCTTCTTTGAAGAAAAAGCGTATTCATTCAGTAATTATATGTGTTAGTAAAGAATCACTAAGTAAACAAGAGTTCCAGGACAATCAATAACTATTTGGAGAGAAAAAAAAATCAAGTTACCACAACTTTTCACAAAAAAATAAAAATCAATTCAAGATAGATTATGATTTAAAGGTAAAACAAATACATAAAACTAAAGTCTTAACTGATTGCTTATCTGATCTTAGGAGGTAAAAAGAAGAAATCACAGTAGAAAAAAACTATAGATTTATGCAAAATAATGAAAACAAAAAGAAAACCTGGAGAAATTACTTGACAGAAAATACAGTTACTGTAAACAGGTAGTGTATAAAGTAAATATATAAAGTTTTGGTATTAAATAATAAGAACAACATCTAGGTCTCATTTGAAATTGGCCAAAGGACATGAGTAAGTAATTAAGACAGGAAATAAAAATTAATGACAAACATAGAAAACAAATTCTATCTCACTAGTAATAAAAATAGAATGATAGCTTCAAGTTCCAGTCAGGATGGAATAAGCACATTCCACCCTACTTCTGCTAATTTCAACAAACACCCTGGATACACTTAAAGCACTTATCCAGAAGATTTTGAAAGATGGATTCAAAAAGATGGTTGGGCTAGTGATGAAGGAAGCCTTGACTGTGAGTTCCCTATATATTTTTGTCTCATCTATATCTTGGTTTGTGTGCTAGAGAAGCCAGCAACTCAGACCACAAAAGGGTACAGAATAAAAAGGCCCAGGGGCCAGGTGCGGAGGCTCAAGCCTGTAATCCCAGCACTTTGGAAGGCCAAGGTGGGCAGATCAGCTGAGGTCAGGAGTTTGAGACCATTCTGGCCAACGTGGTGAAATACCATCTCTACTAAAAATACAAAAATTAGCTGGGCATGGTGGGGCGTGCCTGTATTCTCAGCTACTCTGGAGGCTGAGGCAGGAGAATCGCTTGAACCTAGGAAGTAGAGATTGCAGTGAGCCAAGTTCGTGCCACTGCACTCCAGCCTGGGCAACAGAGAAAGACTCCATCTCAAAAAAAAAAAGTCCCAGGAAAAACCTGTTTCCTCCATTCAGAGGACTGACAAGAAGGAGGCTTTGTAAGACAGAAGCCTTTTACCCTACCTGCCCTAATAATACCACCAAGGACGCAGTTCCCTTCTCACTCCCCACCAGCCTATCTGTGACATATAGGTAGGGATGCCCCTTTTTTGCCTCTCCCCAATAAGTGTACTTTCCAAAGGGTCTGTGCAATGGAGCCCTATTAACCTACCCCTTCCTGAGGTGGCACATGTCAATGAAGAGGTGGTGACTCTCCTCCTCCCCAAGCATGGCTGCTGCAGATAGAGTAGAGTGGAGCTCTGTAGAACTACCCCAGTCCCTCACTAAGCAAAGGTAAGCAAAGGCAGCATCTCTCTACCTTCCCCCATTCCCACAGTTGGAGAGGATTACTAAGAAGAGAGAGGTAGGAAAGGAATCTTTTCAATCTTTGTATGAAGTCCTAGGCTTACCCTGAAGTGACCTATGCAGGAAACTGACCACAATCAACACAGCAAAAACTTTGAGAACTGAATGAATTATGGCATGAAATATCACACTGGTTTCAGGTTGGCCTCTGGGTAGCAGTGCACAAGTGGCGCAGATCAGAATAGCATTTTTAAAGGCTTTAAAAAATGAAACTGAGAGTTGAACCATGCCCTTATGATCATAGATCCAAAAATTCTCAACAAAATGTAAATACATAAAAGGGATAAGACACCTATACCCTGACCAAGTGGGGTTCATTCTAGGATGCAAAGCTGGTTCAATACTCAAAAATTAGTTAATGCAATCTCCCATATTTACAGTCTAAAAGAAAAAAAGTGTACGATTATATTAATTAAAGCAGAAAAGCCTTTGATAAAATTTAACACCCATTTGTGCTAAAAACTCTCAGCAAAGTAGAAACAGAAGGGAACTTCCTCAGCATGATAAAGAGAATCTACAAAATAACCTACAGCTAACATTATATTTAATGGTGTCAGACTGAATTCTTTCTCCCAAAGATCAGGAACAAGGCAAGCATGTCTACTCTCACCACTTCTTTTCAAGATAGCACAGTGCAACCAGGCAAGCAAAAGAAATATAGTTTGAAAAGGAAGAATATCTGTCTCTGCATGACCAAGGATTAGGCAAAGAGTTCTTAGACATGAAATCAAAAGCATGAACCATAACAGAAAGTTGGTAAATTAGAGTTTATCAAAATGAAAAATTTGTGTTTTGCTAAAGGCACTGTTATGAGAATGAAAACTCAAGCTACAGATTGGGAAAAAATATTTGCAAGTCATATGTCCAACAAAAGACTTGTATAACCAGAATATATAAAGAATTCTCTAAACTCAACAGTAAGAAAACAAGCCATCCAATTTAAAAAGCGGGTAAAATACTTAAAAATACACTTCACCAAAGATACACAGATGGCAAATAGGCATATGAAAAGATGTTCAATATCACTAGATATTAGGAATATGCAAATTAAAGCCACAATGAGATACTACTACACATCTATTAGCATTGCTAAAATAATGGCAATATTGGCAATACCTACTGCTGATGAGATAGCAGAACAACTTGATCTCTCATGTACTGTTGGTGGGAATGTAAAATGGTACCACCAGTTTGGGAAGCAGTGTGATAGTTTCTTATAAACTGACAAATATGACTGAGCAACCCCATTCCTGAGTGTTTACACTAGAAAAATGAAAATGTACATTTACATAAAAACCTGTACATAAATGTTCATCACCTCAAACTGGAAACAGTACAAATGTCCTGTACCAGTTGAATAAATTGTTGGATGTCTATATCATGAGATATTACACAGCAATAAAAAGGGACAAACTATTGATACCCAAAAAGGATGGCTCTGAAGACATTATTCTGAGGTGAAAAAGCCAATCCCAAATAGTTACACAGTGTGTGATTTCACTTTATATAAGATTCTCAAATGACAAAATTACAGTGATGGAGAACGGATTAGTGATGCCAAAGTTGTGGATGGGGAAATAAGTGACTATAAAGGGATAACACAGGGAGATTTTTTTTGGGGGGTGAGTGATAGAATAGATCTATATCCTGATAGTGGTGATGGTTGTACAAATCTACACATGTAATACATGTAATAAAATTGATAGAACTATATACTACCCTCCACCAAAAATGAAAAGAAGATGAAGAGAGAAAGTACATGGAAAAACTGGTGAAATCCAAATAATATCTGTCATTTAGGTAATATTATTGTACCAAATTCAAATTCAGTCTTGATAATTGTACTAAGGTTATTTATATATGATGTTCTCTTGGGGGAAACAGGATAAAGGGTACAGGGGAACTTTCTGTAATATATTTTTAAGAGCATTATTGAAGTATCATATACATAATATTAAATTCACTCATTTCAAGTGTATAATTGAACAGTTTTTAGTAAGTTTACAGAGTTGCAAAACCATTACCACCATTTTTAGAGTATTTTCATCACCCTCAGAAGAAACCTTAGAATCATTTGCAGTCACCTTTGTTCCCATCCTCAGCTTTAGGCAACTTTCTGTCTCAATAGATGTGCTTTTCCTAGTCTCTGTACAATTTTTGCAGCTTCTATGTTAAGTCTAAAATTATTTCAAAATAAAAATGTCAAAAAATGATTTTGAAAACTAATGACCTTAAAATTTGTTTTACTAATACATTTGACAAAATTATAAGACATTCATGTTGACTCTTTCTATGCAAATGGATATTTTAAAGGCTTCATATTCAATATATATTAGAAAAAATACAAAGAACAAGATTATGATATAGTTCTGTTAGTCAGTGCTTAGAAGCACTAGTCTTATTAGAGCACCCAAGATAATGCAACAGAGAACAGAGAAAATTCAGCTGTTATTGCTGACAAATTTACCCCACAGAGACCAGTAAGAAATACACAGGTATGCAAAGCACTTAACTAGTTTATTTCCGTGGGTGATACAATATATTTAAAAATAAACCCTACAAATCCTGAAAATCAATAGTAAAGGAAATAACATTAAAATTTCAGATTAAAATAATAATAATGTTGATGAACATTAAAGTATTCCTTAAAGGCTTTTACCAAAAGAAAATCTGACAGAGAGAAAAACCTATATAAGAATCTCATAGAACTTTAATACAGAAGGTATTAAAGTACTTTTATACTATAAAAGTACTTGTTTTTATTTTTAAAACAATAAGCTCAGGTGATAGGACATCATTTTAAAAGTATTTCAATACCTTCAGTAAATTCTAGTTACTATATGTATATTCGTATACATGAATATGTGTGTATATATATATATGCACATATGTGAATGTATTTAGTAAATATATGTGATTTACAATGACTTAAAATATAAAATTTCTGAGTTATAAGTTTTCTTAGACCAAATAAAATATATTCTTAGTTTTCAGCTAATAAAAAAAGCCTTTTAAAATAAAGCAATTTTGATATAACACCTTATTCAAAAGAGTCAGATAATAATGGAGTACAGATTGGTGTAAGCTTTTTAGAAAACAATCTTGTAATATGTATCAAAAGCCTTAAATAGTTCATTATCTGGTTTTAGAAATCACCTTTGTAAAAAAAAATCTGAGGTGAGGACAAGAATTGTGTGCAATGCTGCCCTCCATATCTTTGCATTTTAATGATGAAAGATTTTTTGAAAGAAAATACTTGCATTAAAATGGTGAACATTTTGAATAATTAAAAAACCTACATTATAGAGAATAAGTCAAAAAAATCGTGTTATGTCCACACAATGGACTTTTCAAGGTAATCTATAAAGATAATATTGATGGAGACAATATAACACCATGGGAAAATGCTTATAATATAATGTAAAATTAATTTTAAAATCAAGGTACAAAATATATATCATACATTATATTAAAATATATTTATATTTACTTAATTTATGCTGATTTATATATTTAGTTAATAGTGTTGATAAACATTTATATTTATTAACATAGTGAGATTACATATTTGCATATGCATTTTAATTTTATATATCAATATATTAACCTGTTTATTTTATGCACATATATTCATTTATACATATATAGTACAATATTGATAGTGATTATTCTGAGTGGTGGGTTTATAGTATACATTTATTTTGTACTTTATATTTTTGTCACACATGGGTTTGTCACAGCATATGTATGTGTAACATGTGAGCATGTAATAATGTTATAAAAAGAAAAAAAGACTATTGGCTTGAAAGTGAAGAGAACTGGCACCTAGTTATTGTGTTGCCACTACCAGGTAACCCCAGGCAGATTGTTAAAATATTCTAGTTCTCAATTCTATCACCTGTTAAAGGAGGGGTTACGTTATGCCATTGCAAAGTTTCATTATAGCTCTATTCTTTTGCAGTTCAATTATCTATCATGTATGAGGCCCTATACGAGGCAATGTCAGATGGATGAAGTGCACTTAACTTCATGGACTTTAATGTCCAATCAGGAGGAAACAATCATGAATATACATACATACATTCATGTAGCATGAGGGAGAACTTGGTGAGTGCCATGAGGGGTTAGGTTAGTAAAGGGAAAAGCCACATCTGTCAGGGTGAGTAGAAACATTTTAATGAAGGAGTTAGCATAGTCAGCCTTATATCTTCTACTCCAAGTTCAGCTGATTTTCTCCTCTATAATTTTCTCAATTAGTTTCCAATTTTATTCCATTAGTCATTTGGATCATTATTAGTTTTTATTTGAATTTCCTCTGCAGTGAGCCCTGTCAGCAGCCAAAGAGTGACACAGAACTAGTGAATTGGAATCCAAAAGAACAAATCACAGCTCAGTTAACAAATATGTTGGCTAAATGCCAGCCTCAGTAGGAAACAGTCAGCCAAAATATTTATCAACAGGATTTTAATTCTACAGTTTGATTTAAATTTCTGCTCAGCTGAGTGTGTGGTATATCTAGCTAGTTAACTCTAGAATTCTAATCAAAGGACTGTCAAAGCAGCAAGACAAATATTTGTGTTAGTGCTGCAGTTGCTAACTTCAGATGAGATGATGTGGCTCTTGAACACATTCAGACACCACCCTGAGTTCTTGGCAGCCCTTTGAGGAGTCCTTTATGGTGCTTATTAACTAGCTTTTTGTGCCATGCCAGTTGTATGTCCCCATATCCCCATATAGGCTTCTAGAATACGAATTCTGGCTTGTTAATGGCCCAATCTTGGTAGAAAATGCACTTGGAGTGGTTTTCTGGTAATAGTTATATAAACAGGCATTCACACCAACTCAGGGGAGTCTCAGGTGTGACCATTTATCTTGATGTGGGGCCACCTGCTGTGTCATCTTCTTGAGGAAACTTCTCAAGGAGTGGTGTGACTTCCTTTTAACCTTTCCTTCTCTTTCTGCTCTCTCCCTCCTGCCTGCACCCACACATTTCTCTGTGGGAAGAGAACAGAACTCTGTTCTTCCCCCATTCATCACCACTTCTTAAGGGAGAGAAATGTTGTTTTCGTTCTTCAAATAAGTGTAGTCTATCACCATACTAAGCTCAAATGGTTAGACAGAACCATCAAGCCACTTCAGGAAGAGAGGAGTTACATAGGAAGTATCAGGTCTTCATGTTTCAACCTCTTGTTGGCAGAAAAAAGGATAGGGAATCAATGTTTGGTTTAAAGTCCCATAAGGAAGTGGTTATTCCCTTCCAAAGAAGTATAAACTGCCTCCCCTTTCACTGTCATGAGGCAAATAGATTTCTAAATAGGAAAAGAGCACAGAGAATTTAGATGTGAACACAGGGTATTTAGAAAAGCAAAATTACATCACTAAGCATGCATAGAAATCATCACACAGGGGTCCCCAACCCCTGGACCATGGACCAGTACCAGTCTGTGGCCTGTTAGGAACCAGGCTGCAGAGCAGGAGGTGAGCAGAGGGCAAGTAAGCATTTAGCTCTGCCTCCTGTCAAATCAGTGGCGGCATTAGATTCTCATAGGAGCATTAACTGTGAACTGCACATGTGAGGGATCTAGGTTACGTGGTCCTTATGATAATCTAACGCCTGATGATCTGAGTCTGAAGTGGAACAGTTTCAACCCAAAATCATCTCCTTCCTTCCCCACCCCATGTCCATGGAAAAATTGTCTTCCACAAAACTAGTCCCTGATGCCAAAAAGGTTGGAGACAGCTGACCTATCACTGTAATGAACATGGAGATGGACCACCCATATCTTCCTTCATGCCTGTTGCAGCTGGGAGTGCAGTTAGCAATTAGTCCTCATCTATCAGCCTCTTTGGAGATCACCTCAGTTGCAAAGTAAACTATAAACAATAAAGAAGGAAATATCCTGATATGAAATTGAAGGTGGTTTCTGCCATATTGGGAGGAAATAAAAGTTCTGCCTGAGTTAGAGATGCCTGGAGAGAGGGTGTGTGCGTGTGTGTAAAACAGCAGTGCTGAAACACGAGTTGAGACCTGCCCTCTGCCTCCTTCTTTAGGAATAGATGGAATAGAAACTGTAAATGGACTTAGGCTTGAAGTGCCTGGGCCAACCTGTGCCAGCCTGGGCCTTAGAGTGCCTGGGCCAACCTGTCTACCACAAAACAGAAATGGCAGAATGGCATCGTGAAGGAGAGGAGAGAGATGAGAAAGCATATTTTGGTTTTCCAGTGGCTGAATGTGGTCTGCAGAAGTTTCTACAAAGAATGGGAATGGGCCAAAGGGCCAATAAGCTGAAAGAAACCTTCACTTTGAATGAGGAGGGCATAGAGAGGAAGTTGGCAGGGACCATGAATCATCAGCAGGTTCTAGAGCTCCACTAATGACCAACTGGATCCATTTCCAAGACCACTTAGCACAGTGGATATAGACATCTACTTCAGAGGTGGCCAGCAGGGATCCAGATGACTGCATGAGAACTGGACTCTCTTCCTCTGTGTTGTGTAGTTATACAAGTACCCACTCTGAACCCAGATAACATACTGGAAAGAGGACAGGAAGGGGAAATTCCTTGAGAGGGGAGAATCACTTAGATAAGAAGTTTGCATTTTGAATTGACTATTTAAATCCTCAGTTGACTATTTACACCAACATGATTGTGTTAACCTGGACAAGACTGCAGTGAATTGGAAGTGACAGTTACCTCCAACAGGCAAGCTAAGTTTTCCATCACCACCAATCAGAAATGAGGGCTCAGAAGCAAGTTATATTCTGTTGTAAAAAAAAAAAAAAAAAAAGAAAAAGCCATATCTCTTCACATCTGAAGTGCTGAATTGTAAATAAAAAAAATTAAGCCACCTATGTACATTTAAAAGTAACATGAAACACTTGATTCCACCAGACATATAACTGAAAAGTGTTCCACGATAGGAAAAATCAAAACGATATACAGCATTTACCCATAAGACAAATACGGCATATAAGAACAAGCCACAAATCCATATCCTGAGTCCTGCACCGGTGCTCTAAAGGCTTACTCCTAATCTCACCCCTTCCGCTATTATGCAAGGGTACCTTGGGTTGGGGCTGCCTTTATGATTAAAGGCATCTCAATTTGCCCATAGTAAAAATAAGTAAAACCCAACGATTTTCATCACAAAACACTGAGCAAATGCTAAATGACAATAATTAAAATTCAGAAAAAACAAGTCTTATCCCTATTACTCCTATCTCTATACACCGTGCCGGATATGATTCTGAGAGACTTCTGGAAGGCAGTGGGGAGGGGAAGAGGAGGCAGTTGCTGGCAGAAAATCAGAGAATCTGCAAGTTATTTGTGCATAAACTGAGTGGGACAGGGCTTGCTATTTGAATTGTGCATGCTTCTGTTTTATCGAACCCATTCCTCACCCACACGTATTATAGGAGCTGTCATCTCTTATTTACACACTACAGGGTACGTTGCTCAAATAAAGAGGGCAAAGCGATATGGAGCACATAGAAAAGAAGAGCGTTTACATTGAAAGTGTGAGTATTTATTAAGCAATTCAACACATTTTAGATACATTTTTAAAAGATGAAGTAACGTGTGTTGACAGTGTCCACGGTGAAAAGGAGTTATTTTCTCCCCAAATATTCAGCAGGCTGTTTGAACAGGTAGTACCTTATTTCTAGATTGTTGTTTGAAATTGTCCTAGTTCCAGCTTTTTAAAAATCTCCCTGAGCGTCAGTTTTATTTTGTGCTAAGTGGGAACAAGGAGATCTCCCTTGCAGGGTTCCTATGAGGATGAAATGATACTCCATATATCAAGCACTGGAAGTGTGAGTCTGGCACACTCTAGGGGCCTTGTCCCCTTTATCGGTGGGTCAAAATGTGCCCCTCTGTTCTGGTTTCCTTAGCCTTATATTGAGGGAGGAGATTGAGGGGATGTATTGCCATGAAACCTTTACAAAGAGCATGGATTTCTTCTCCCTGACTTGGTCTAAATATGGCCTTAACACACACAACCAAATGTCCCTTGGATAGAGCTGCTAGAAGATGTGGGAAGCATGGGGAAGGTGAGCAGCAAAAAACAACAGAAAGATGGAGAGGGAAAATTAGAAAGAAGTTTGTCCCTCCATTTCCTTATCTCTGGTTACTACTCTGCACACACCTCATCCTCGTCCCCTCTTTAGCCCCAGTCTGTGTTGCAGTTACAGCATACACAAATGTCTGCTCACTCTCTAAGGTCATTATGACATTTTGCTTAGTTCCTCAGACAGGTAAAAGCACTCTTTATGAATTAGCCCAAGAATCTCTGTATGTTCTTTTTTTTTTTTTTTTTCCGAGATGGAGTCTCGCTCCGTCACCCAGGCTGGAGCTGGAGTGCAGTGGCACAATCTCAGCTCACTGCAACCTCTGCCTCCCAGGTTCAAGCAATTCTCCTGCCTCAGCCTCCTGAGTAGCTGGGACTACAGGCGCCTGCCACCACACCTGGCTAATGTTTGTATTTTTCAGTAGAGACGAGGTTTCACCATGTTGGACAAACTGGCCTCGAACTCCTGACCTCAGATGATCTGCCTGCCTCGGCCTCCCAAAATGCTCAGTCACCACGCCCAGCCCATCTCTGTATGTTCTTATATGCAATGTTTTCCTCACTTCTTTCAAGTCCAGTGTGTTCACCAGACTGTGAGCTCCTTGAAGCTAAATTGTTATTGTAATAATTATTAACATATTACTAGTTACTCTATGCCAAATAGTTTTAAAAGATATTAGCTCATAAAATAGTCACAACAGCCATCAGTTAAGGTGTTATTATCATTTTCTCTCCCATTCCATTTTTAATTTTTAAATTGTAGAACCTATATACATAGCCACATTGCATCTTCCTTAGCCTCAACCTTCTTTCTCTTTTGAAGTTCTTCAAAACTTCATGGCTCCTACATGACACGTAAGCATATTATGTACACTACGCAAGATAATACTCTTCAAAAAGTGCAATTACTATGAGCTATGAGCTTTATCTCATCTGCTACTTCCAGTTTATACCTTTGTTATTTAATAACCATTGCTTCCCTCACTAGTTACTTCAAACTATATTTCAAAATCAGGGGAGAGAAAACGATGACTTGTGAAATCACCTAACAAAGTGAAAAATAGACTCAAAGTTTTGATTCCATTTATGTGTATTCACTGGATTTAAGACCTGCTTAAAAGCCTTAGAAAAATGATTTAAAATACTGACCTCTGACTATATGTGGCTGTTGCATCATCATAACCACCCACCATCATCAACTTATATTGAATAGTAATTCTGTGCCAGCTATCATACTCTACCATTCAAATATATTATCTCACTTAATCTTCACAACAACACTATTTACAACCTTCTTCACAACAGGAAATCGGTGCTTAAAAAAGATAAATGTTTTACCTGAGGTTACATCCAAATAGCAAACCGAGGACTCAAACCCAGTTGTCTCTGATACCAGAGTTTTTATTCTTTACTATGCAGTTCTGCCTTCCAGAATTTATACTGCTCACCCATTTAATCATAGTCAAATCTTCTGAAGGCTAAAAGTTAACTGTAACAGAAATCCCTTAATCTACTTAACTTCATTATGAGAAACATGCCATACCTTTGAGAACCCACGACAGTCAAGAGATAGAATGTGGCCCAAGGCAGTTCAAATATGTCTAAGGGTATTTTTCAGCTACTTCCACTCATTGCCTTTAACACAATAAGCACTTAATAAACATGTTGATTGATTGATTGAATAAATCAATAAAAAATCAATAAAAGCAACTCGATGAGGGCATAAAATTATTGGTACCTAATCTTTCTGGCCTGAAGTTTATGTAGAGGTTGTTCCGCTATCGTCTAGTATTTAATGTGGCAGAGATTGGACACTAGAGGAAAAAAATTCTGGATATTTACATGCTTTGTATTGTGACAGAAAACTAATCACGGTGAATTGAGGATTGAGTTTCCATTTCTTACTGAAATGGGGTAAACATTGCCAGTTTGCATCCTTGCTTTTATTCTCAATTCTGCAAAGTTAACTATAATTAAATTAAGCATTTAAAGCCTGATAGCATAGAGGTCAATAGCACAAGGTGTGAAGCCAGACTGCCTAAATTCAAATTTTTACAAGCTGAGCAATTTTGGGCAAGGCACTTAACATTTCTGTGCCTATCTCCTATATGTAAAATTTCCTATATGTAAAAATATAGTAGTTAGCTCATGGAGTTATTGTAATGAGTTAATACATGTAAATCACTTAGAAGTTCTTGGCACTTAGTAAGTACATATTCATCAAGAACATCTAGTACGATTTCCAGGATCCAAGAGGTGTTCGTTTAGTACAGATCCTCTGGAATCGCTGGTATCTTCTTCTCTCCTTACTGCATATATTTCCAACACTCTTGAGGGAATGAATTAACAGAAATTCCCTGCATGTCCAACTACCTGGATTCTTTCCCCCTCACTCACTGTGCTTTATTGTCAGAACTTTACCTGTAAAAACCCATTACATCATTCCAGTTTCCCCAGCACAGCCAGCTTCCCTTTATCCCCATTCTTTGGCTGTTGATAGGGAAAAACTGTCTCAAAATAGATGTAGTAAGAGTGGTGCTAAGGGTTTGAACTGCTCAGGAAGTGGATAAAGGTAATGAATCAGACAGAATTTATTAGAAATATTTACAGAAAACATGGCAAAAATAGAATAAACTGGCTGCTTTGTGAACTCCTACCCACACAGTAAGGAGATGACTGTTCAGTTTTCTGGTTCAGACCTGAGTAGAGAAACAAGAAAGTATTTCCCTATGTCTTTTACACTGGTAAACTGTTTCAGATGGCAGGCTGAGCATCGAGATTTTACATTCAGTTCCATAAGCTGAACCTACATGTGGCTGCTAGGGCTTCCTTGCAGCATGACAGCTGCTAATTCCAAAGGTGGACACTCCCGGAAAATTAAGCAGAAGCTCTATTTCCTTCCATGATCTTTGCTTCTGAAGTCACATAGTATCACAAGCCCACCTACAGCCCACAGCTTGAAGGGAGGGAAGTCAAAGTCATATCGCAGGAAGAGCATGAAGGATGATGATTATAGCATCTGCCCCATCTCCCCTCAGATTCTAACTAACTTGGCCTAATGGTCTCTCTCAAGTGTAATGTCATCTCATGGCTGGCTCCTCACAGGTGTGTGTTCCTGCCATTCCTCTAGCAGATTCTGGTCTCCTAAGGTTTCTGTCTCATCTCCCTCCATGGCTAGACCTGGGTCCACTTGCTCATATGTGCTTGGCTTTGCTCATCACCACTATGCCCACTAAGTATCAGCTTTGTCTGACATGTTTTATACATATGCCCTTTACCTCTCTGTCTCTCCTCCAGTAAAGAAGGGAATTCCCTTTATTTTAATATCTTTAGTCTTAGCTAGTGTAACTAGTTCTGGAAACTAATGTTCTGAATAATTTATCTTCCTGCTATCCTGGGCATATATGATTAAGCATAAATGAATGTATTATTGGCCCTGTCTGCTCAGAGAGTAAATCTGATCATTTTCCAACTTGAGGCAGAACTGGAAAGAGAATGGGGGTCGATAGGTAGTGGAATTCAGGGTTGCTGCTAATTAGGTATTAAAAATGCCAAAATATAGGTCCATTCAAATCCTACAGGGGATATACCAATAAAACGTAACACTCTTTGCATTAAAATACGCTTTCTAGTTCTTTACACTCCTTTAGGTTAGTGCTCTGTCAACTCAAGCATCAAATTCCTTGTCAAGGCTGTTTCTCTTTTTTCTTAAGGGGTCTCCCCACCCCTCCCACTTTTCTATGGTCATGTCTGGGAGGATGAGGAAGCTTGAATGCTCCTAGAAGCAGTGGAGGGCTGCCTGGTCCTGTGTTGTTCCTCTTGTAGTCCCTTCTGAACTCGAGGGTGAAAGTAGTTCACTTCACCCAGGATTTAGGTAGTAGGTCTCTGACCTCAGTGCAACTGTGGCTCTGCACAGCTGGGGTCCCCTGTGGCACCATAGACTTATCTCCTAAACACTCTTCTTCTTCATTCTGCAGAAGACTTGTATGTCCACTTTTTGTCAGATAGTACCCCTCTTGTGCTCATAGTCTGGGCCTTCTCTATACCAGAGTTTAGAATAAAATTATATGATTATTGCCAGATAAGTTTGAGTCTTACGTAAGGGGAGCTTCTGCAATTCAGGAAATCCTTTTAGCCTTCAAGACAATCAAAAGCTACACATTCACTTTCTGCTATTGCTTTATGGCTTCCTTCCTGGAGGCAAAGCCTTCCTCTAGTTGAATGTGGAGGTCACAAGCAAATAAAAAAGGGAAAAATGTATTAATACATTCTAAAACATCCTCTTTGTTTCAATATCTCTTGGCTGTCTCTAATCCCATTCATTCCCCACTCATCTTTTCTCCCTACTTTATCTCATCACACTAGTCCCCACACCAGAATTAAAATTTTCCTTTAAAGAGCATTCCTCTGAAGCTGACTTCCTTCAAGCCTGCAACATGTGAGCAAAAATGACAAAACAAAGAGGGGAGGACTACTTGTTGTTAAATATAAGAAAGGAAAGGAAGAAAAGTACCAAGCCAATGAGTTGGAGTTTGCCAGGGAGGCTTCTAAATTTATTCTGCTGTGAATTCTAAGTGGGGCATTGGAAACTTCATATCCTGGACATTTTCTTAGGTGATTAGTAATTAAATGTGCATCCAAAAAAAAAAAAAAAACCTGCAGATTTGCGCTCAACCCCAATTTGGTTCATCTGAACACAGGAGCACTTGAGAAATGCAAAATTCTTTAATCACTCCAAATTGCCCAAGCACAAACCAGGCCAAGAGCGTCAATTGCTTCTAAAATAAGATGCAGGTGTTCTGAAAAATCTACAAGCAGTCTGCTCATTTTAAATTACTCTTCACTCCATGTGCCCATAGGGAAGGGAGGATTGAAGAAGGCGTTTTTTTTTCATCACAGCCTCACTGGTGGAATGACAGTAGTGATTACAAAAAAAAAAAAAAAAAAAAAAAAAACACAGAGATATCATCCACCTCCTCTTTCTGTTTTACCTGCCCAACCAAAGTTGGTACAGAAAATACATTTCCTCAGGGAACCCTTTGATTACAATCCTAATGGTCGATTTCATCATTGGTTTTAGTTTTTCACCCTTTCTGAATTATACCCTTTGCTAAGTGATCCTGAAGATCCTCTCAGTACAAGTACAGAGCATATTTCCCCACATCTTGACTTTGGCCTTGTCCATGTCACTTCCTTTGTCCATAGAATATAGCAGAAGGGATTGTGTATTAGTCCTTTCTTGCACTGCTATAAAGAAATACCTGAAACTGGGTAATTTATAAATAAAAGAGATTTAATTGGCTCACAGTTCTTCAGGCTTTACAGTAAGCATGGCTGGAGAGGCCTCAGGAAACGTTCAATCGTGATGGAAGGGGAGGGAAACAGGAATGTTTTACATGGCCAGACGGGAAGAATAGAGAGAAGGGGGTGATGCTACATACTTTCGAACAAGCAGATCTAATGGGAACTCACTCTATATTACAAGACCAGCGAGGGGAAAATCCACACCCATGATCCAATTACCTCCCACCAAGCCCCTCTTCTAGCATTGGGTATTACAACTGGACATAAGATTTGGGCGGGGACACAAATCCAAACGATATCAGAAGGTATGTCAATTCTGAGCCCAAGCCTTAAGAGTCCTTGTTTGATTATTCTTGCTCTCCGGGACTTTTGCCATTACCATGAGTAGAATATAGCCTGGCTAGCCCTTTGGTCCCAAGAAGAAAATGAAAAATTCATGGAACAGAGCTGCCCCAACCAAACAGAATGTGAAGGAGCCCAGCCTAAATCAACTGGCTGTCAGCCAACCACAGATGTCTGAGCTAAATAAAGTCCTATTCCTGTGCCACAGAGTTTCTGTGGTTCTTTGTTCCACAACATCATTGTAGCAATGGCAAATTGACACAGTACTAAACCCAGGCATAAAAAGCTAGGAGTATCATATTCTTGGTCTGTGCTGTAACTCTATTCTTCATTGTGAGTATAGATGCTATATTCTATTGTGTATAAAATTTGCAGTATTCATGACTGTTATCCCCTTAATATTGGAGTATTATTTTGGCTGCAACAATTGACACAATCCATCATTTCCATTTCTCTGAATTTTAAAACATTTTTAAATTTTTTTTGCCAATATCCAGAATTTTTCTCAACTTAATGTTAACTAGATTTTTAAAATAGTGCCTTCTCTTTCTAAAAAATGCTCTCTAAGGGTTTTTGATGTAGGGTTATGACATCTCCAGAAAAAGTGTACCTTCTCCTATGGGGATGATGTCTATAGGAAATGAAGGCATTCTGCTGTCTGTCCTCGGAGTGTATAAGAAAGCAGACAACACTGAGTTTGAATTCAAATTTACTAGCTGTGTGGCCTCGGACAAGTTACTTAACTTCTCTGAGCCCCAATTATTTGATCGTAGGGCAGTTAAATTAAGTAGGGAATGTAGAACACCCAGCATGGTGCCTGATGTATGCCAGTAGAAGATCTCAATAAATGCTTCTTTTCAAGTGTGACTCCACTTCTCATCTTATGCAAGGAGCTATTACAGCTATGTGGAAGAATAGCCATTTAGGTATGTAACTAAGATTGTTCAATAAGAATTTACTGACATCCTATTATGTGCCAAGTACAGCACTTTATTAGGGACACAACATCTGTAAGGCATGGTGCTTGGCTTCAGTGAACTGATAGTGGAGGATATGCTGGGTAGTATTTTCAGTGTTTTGCACATATCATTTCATTTAACCCCCATAATAATCCTACGAGATTTTATCCCCATTTTGTAGAGTGGTTAACCAGATCCAAATCATACATCTAGTAAGTAACAGAGTGGGAATTCAAACCTGGGTAATATGATTTCAGAGCTATGCTCTTAACCATTTTGCTGGGATAATACCCATTAAAATTAAATATGTACATGCTCCATGATGCAGCAATTCTACCTCCTCCCACTTCTCCCGCACTTGTGTACAAGACAACATAAGAACCTTCACTGCAGAACCATCTATTATATTGATGAACTAAAACAACACAATGAGGGAATGTACTGAAAAAATGTGCATTGCATCATAGCATTTATATGATATTTTAGATTCCATTAGGTACATGTATGTATGTAAATACATAAGAAAATTCACCAAATGGATTACCTCTTGGGAGCTGACTAGGAAAGAAAGTGAGTGATTTATAAGGACCTAGACATTATCTATAATGTTTGAAGGTTTAAAAATGAGACTATATTTGGATATTACTCATTCAATTAAAAATTAATATTTTTAATCTCTCCTTAACAAAACTCAGTGAGAAAATCCAAAGGCTGATTTGAAGAATATTCTATGAGCTTAGCACCAGCTGTGTAACAGTTGGGCACAGGAAATATAACAAGCTGAAAAAAATCAGGATTAGACAACTATAAAACATAGATAGGACCATTACCCTCCAAATGAATCATACACACAGAAAGGTTCCAAGGGGAGATTAACATGTCAGTAAAGAAGGGTTTGACTTCCATGCTCACATTTATACAGACCGGTGTAACAAATTTTATAGAGTCACTTCAAAGAAGTTGGTGATGATAGCGATGGAGAACAGGTTTTCCTTGTGCTGAACAATTTTAATAAGCCTCCAAATAACCAGCATTAAACAGTCAGTATTAGAAAGAGGAAGGCAGAGCAATCCAGTGGAGGAAATAGCTATCTTGGCTTGAAGAGACCTGGTTTCTATTCCTGGCTTTCCCTCAATTCAGTTACCACCTGCAGATATATAGAATTTTATACATAAAAGGGGTCTTTTAGAACATATAGCCTTGTTACTTTATAGATGAAGAAACAGAGACATGGGCAGAAGTGGATTTCCTGGCAGCAAAAGATCCTAAACTAGGATTCCAGCCCTTTCCTGATAACCGCACAGTCTTATGAATGACCCCTCCATTCATGGGTGAAAATGGAGCCACATTGACACCAGTCCACACCATGGGAAGCTGTAGGCACTCTGACTTATGCAAGGTCAAGCCTGAACTTTTTATTAAGCAAAACCTACTTTTGAAAGAGACATGGGAGAACAAATGCATATACATTAATTTGTTCACTCATACGTTTTATTCTTAAAATATTTTCTATGTACTTACAGAGTATTAAGGGTATGATATATTAATAGGCCCTTTTAGAGATCAGAAATAGATTTCCTACCAGGAAATAAATCTAGTAGAAAAATATGATGGTTGTGTGTCACTGCAATATTAGCACATGTAAGCAATGTAAAAAAACCCATCAATATACAAGAAGGATAATACATTATAGGTAAGTGGGTTTCATCTCAGAAACACAGAGTTGGTTTAATATTTGAAAATGAATCAATAGAATTCATCACACTAAAGAATAAGGGAGAAAAGCATACTGTCACCACAAGAGTTGCAGAAAAGTTATTTGATAACATTTTAAAACCTAGTCATGTTAAAACCTCTCAGAATATTGGAAAATAAAACTTCCTGAGTGTCATAAAGCACATCTATGACAAACCTGGAGCTGACACCATATTTTATGGTGAAACAATAAACATCTGTTCTGAAGATCAGGAACAAGGTAAAGATTTCTACTATCACTCCATCTTTTCAATAGTGTACTGCATGTTTCAGCCAGTGCAACAGACAAAAAAAAAATTAGATCAGGAGTGATGTGTCATTACTTACATGCAATATTATTTTGTACTCAGAAAGTCCCATAGAATCTAAAACAAATAAAACTAATAAATAAATTAGCAAAGTCACAGGATACCATTTCAATATACAAAAATCAATTGTATTTTTGTTTTTAATAATAATACAAAAATATAATAATTTAAAATAAAAATAAATAAAATACCTAGGGATAATCTTAGCAAAGCATGTACAAACTATATGGTGAAAACTATAAGTAACTGTTAAGAGAAATTTTTTAAATATTTTAAATAAAAATGTAACATGTTAAGATGTCAATTTTCCCCACGTTGATAGATTCAGAGCAATCCCAATTAAAATACCAGCAGAATTTTCTGAAGAATTGACCAGTTTATCCTAACATTTCTATAAAAAGTCATGTGATCTGTAAGAGCCAAAGCAATTTGAAAAATAAGAATATTGGAGAGCTCAGATTATGTGAATTCATAAATTATGAAAATATAGTAATCAAAAAGTGTGATACTGATATAAGGATAGACAAATAGATAAATGGAAAAGGATGGAGTTTAGAAATGAATCTATACAAACACTGTACATTGACTATTTTTCAACAAAGGCACTAAAGCAATTCAATATGGAAAAAAGCGTAAAAATATTTTAACAAGTGGCACCGAAACAACTCGATACTTGTGTGTGTGTGTGTATACTCTCAAATCTTATCCTATAAACAAAATTAATTTGAGATGGATTATAGGCTGAAAGAAAAGCTAGAACTATAAAATGTCAAGGAGAAAACACAAGAGAATATTTCTGTGGCTTTGGGAAAGACAATTATTTCTTGGGTAAGATACAACATGCAATAAACATAAAAGAAAAAAATAATATATTGGATTAATCAAAGTTTAACCAAACTTTTTTTCTCTTAAAGGCACTATTAGAAAATGAAAAGGCAGGCCATTGAATCAATATTTGCAAAACAAATATTCATAGCATAGGAAGAACTACAAATCAATAAAAATACAAACAACCCAATTTTTAAACTTATGGTTGAAGATGTGAACAGATGCTTCATAAAAGAAGATGTATAGTAACCGATAAGTACATAAAAAGATACCCAACATTATTTAGTCATCAAGGAATATGATTTAAACCACAGTAATATTTCATGCCCACTAAAATGGCTAAAATGAAAAACACTGACAATATCAAATGCTGGCATGCATGTAGAGCAACTGGAAATCTCGTTCACTTTTGCAGGGAGTGTCAAATAGTATAACCACTTTAAAAGACTGGAGTTTCTTATAAAGTTAAATATGCATTTACTATATGACCTAGAAATTTCATTTTTATGTATTTTCCCAAAAGAAACAAAAATATTTGCTCATTTAAAAACCTGTATAAGAATCTTCATCTCAGCCTTATTCACAATAGCTAAAAACCGATAATAGCACAAATGTCCATAAAGGGAGAATGAATAAAACATATTTTAGTATATCCAAATAATAGAATACTACTTGGGCCACACTATGGATATTTAAAACAACACAGATAAATCTCTAAAACATAATGTTGAGAGAGAGAGTGGCCAAACAAAAAAGAGTACATTTACATGAACTTCAAGAACATGCAAAACTAATCTATGGGGATAGAAATCTGAGTAGTGGTCATCTTCTTGAGGAAGAAGAGCTTGTAAGGGGAAAAGGGCATGAAAAGATTTACTTGGGTGATGAAACTATTCTATATATTGTTTTGGGTGATTTTTACCTAAGTGTATATACATGTCAAATGACTATGCATTGAACATCAAACTGAATCAGTTTGTGCTCCTGGACAAAATTTTTATATGCATATTTACTTCAATTTTTTAAAAAATTGGTTAAAAATGGTTCCCAAAATCCCAAAGAGGAAAAATTCTATTTCAGGATAAACAACCAACATTTTCACTGTCATCCATGTAAGGCATCTACATTATCCATTCTATTACCAAAATAAAAAATTATTCAACATCTTTAGGCAGAGGGTGTGTGTCTGTGATTCTTTTATTTTCTCTCCCTCCATCTTTATTCTTTTCCTCCGTTCTTCCTTTATTCCCTCTCCTCTTTCATTACTCCCCACCCTCCTCCTCCTCCTCCTTCTCTCCCTCCTTTCATTTCCACTTCCTTTCCTTCTTTTTCTTTTGAGGGTCCCTAGAAAATTGGAGAAGATTATTTGAACAGTACCATTTCACATAATCCAATTATTTAAATTATATGCATCTATAGCATAATAAACAAATGTTTGCCTATCAAACCTTTCTCCATGGGCCTGCACAAGCCTACAACCAAGATACGGTATTTCTGTAACTTCTTTTAACAAGAATCCAGTGAAAAGCCAGATTCAAGAGAAAGTATAATAGCTTTTGTTTTAGGTCAGTGTATTTCACATAAGCCTCTTTCTGGGTCTGAGTTCTCAACGTTCAAGAAAATAGGATGGGTGCCTGATATCAACTGATTCATTTTCACTTGTTAGGTCTCTCTCCTTTGGGCCCCATGGTACTCATTGCTCTGTGATTGGACAAAGTCTTAGATCTCCCACTTGGGCATTGGCTAGCATATGTTAAGGCATTGAAACTTGGTTCTGGCACTAATCTCTTATCACTGCAGTAGCAATGGAATTGTGCCCACTAAGGTTGGATTCAATGAGTTGACAGAGAGGGAACAAAAGCTTAAGGGTGCCCATCTACAGCTTCTACACACAAGCAGATATTTTCAGCTCTTGACTTGCCAATAATTGTTCCATCTTTCACAGCACTCTAATTGTAAAGTAGTATAAAGTAGTCTCTATGTTTCATGAAGGTGGCTTCAGATTTTGCTTAAAAGAATCTTTTTCTTCTGGCAGCTCTACCTTCTTGAATTGGTTTAGAACACATCAGTTCCATTGTCTGTCTCACACTCATTCCTTGCACAGTTAGGTAAAGCCTGGGCTCTGGAGTTTCTGTTTTGATCGAAGTAGTTATTTGTTCTCCTAACCGTGCCTTGTGAGGGTGTGTGTGTATGTGTGTGTGTGATGAAAATACAGTCATTTAATTTTGAAGAATTTGTTTGGGTCTCTGCTTATAAAGACCTCTTCCAGACATTGCTCAGCTAAATCCGTCATCATATATCTGGCTGTATTTATCATCATTATCTCTGCAGCCAAGCCTGATTCTTTCTAATAAACAAATATTGAGTTAATATAAAATAAAATTTATTGTAAGTTTATTTCTGCACTTGGTCTCATATGCCTGCCTTTCTGAGTTCTCCTCTGACTGAATAACCACTGAAATCAGAAATATATTTGAGATTTAAGCCAACAGGTATTTTGCTCAGACTGGTTATCCTATTTTCCAAGATTCTCAGTATTTTCTAAATATCTGGCCTCAAAACACAGGCCAGGAACTTCTGATAATACAATCTGATACAAATAAAAGGAAAATCACCAATATCAAACTTCTGTCTATTAAGTCTATTCAAGTTACCAAACATCTTTGGTGTACCCAATATGTGTAGAACCTAGAAAAACATAAACGTGTTTTATGTTTATGGTTTATGTTTATAAAAACATAAACCATGTCTTACATGGTTTCTACATAGTCATCTCTTGAACTCCTGGCCTCAGGCATTCCTCCTGCCTCAGCCTCCCAAAGTGCTAGGATTACATGTATGAGTCATCATACCTGTAATCTGGCTAGTCATCTCTTTCATAGGGATCACATACTCACTCCGTCAAAGTTCAGATGTTTTAAAAAAAGGCGTCACTGTGAATGAGCCAGGAAATCAAATATATCATACATTCTAACACTCTGTAGTTGTACAGAATATAATGAATATTTGCTGTTGTCTAGAAGATGGGATGTTCACATCCAGTTTCTGCGCTAAGGTCCTGGAAGAGAATAGAACACACATGTGGATGGGAAACATGGTAAATAGGTAAAACCTACTGAGAAATGATGGAACCTTAGAAACATTGTCCACAAAAGGACTTTCCAAGCATGATCCTTCCTGGCTAACAATAAAAATTATTAATATTTATTGAATGCTTACACTACATAGCAGGCACTATTCTAAAGCTTTATGCCTTAAAGCATTTGATCCTCCCGTGAGGTAATTGCTGTTGTCCCTATTATACAGATGAACAAAATTAAGCACAGAAAACTTACCCAATGTCACAGAGCTAATAAATAGCAAAGCTGGCATTTGACAACCATCAGGTTGTTGAGCTTGTGCTCTTCCCCATGATGATATATGATTTCATTCATTCAGTGGAATAAGAGGATATATTTTTATTAATTATTTCTGTTTATAAGACATAATGCTTCAAGTATATACATTAGCATCCCTGACTTACATCATATATACATACCACCTTGGAGCATGTGTCAAATCTTTGCTTCAAGGATTGTGCAATGAGAGAAAGATTAGAAATCATGTTCTTCTATCCTTCTCATTCTTTAAACAACACCTTATTGAAAGATACTCTGTGCTAATACTAGTGCAAGATTCTAGTGTTTTAAAAGTGTATTCAAGGAAATTACCCTTTAGGCCAATGCGTATCATATATTTTTAGCATCAAAACTGATTGTGGGTGCTTTCTTCACTCTAAAAATCTTAAATAGAACCCTGCAATATAAATTAGGTAAACGTGAAGAGTGGGTTCCTGCAGCAGTTTCATCATTCACTGTTTGGCAGGAAATGCTTCCTTATTTTTAAAGTTCCCAGAACAAGTCAGTGGAGCCCTAGGGTTGGTAAATGTTTGGCTAAACAGTAGGATGCAGTAAAGTGAGCAATGAACTGGGAACTACTAAAATTGATTAGCTTGACTTTGGGGGGATATTTCTCAGTCTCCCTGAGCCTTATTTTCATTTTAGAGAAAAGATCTGGGTTCTGGAAATTCTCTAAGGCCTCAGATATGACATTCTACAGTTATAGATAATTGGTGCTGGTTGGCTCCAGGATGGGATGTTCTTTCTAGTGCCCACTTTCTAAGAAAGGGTCAATGAAAGAAATATTCTGTGGAACAGCAGAGGGAAACCCTGTTACGGCCCTTCATGCCTCTCTACCTCCCATCCTTTCTGCTGCTCAACCAGGTATACTCCTAGACTAATTACGTTGTAGAATCCACTGAAAAATCCAATACAATCCTCATTTCTCCTAACAACATAGCAATTTCCAGCAGGTGTTAGGTGCTTAAAAAAATAAAAGAAAGAGTAAAAACTTCACACCAGATGTAGCCCATATAAATATTACCACACAGGTGCTGGGAAGAGAATAAGTTCTCTAAATTATGCAAATAAGTCTTCTTGACAATTCAATTTTTTAGAATAACCATATATATATTTCTTTAGAGATTTTTTATTAATTTAAAAATATCAATGATCCATGTTTGCAAGTTAATTTACACAATTATATCTTCAAACTTCTCTCAAAGTCTTAAAGCCAAGAGAATTAAAGCTTTGACCATGATTTGTCCTCTGAGAACATAAGGAGTGAAAAAAGGTTGAATCCATTGCATTGAACAGGTAATGCAAAAGCATCATTTCAATTCCAGCTTCATACTTTCCTGCCATTCAACCCTATCAACAGATCCATTAATGAAAATAGTTGAGTTGGTTTTCTCCTTTTGTATTTTGTTCTCTATTCTAATGAACTATAATTTAACTACTACTCAAAAGACAAGCAGCCCCAGATAAAAGATAAGAAAACAGAGAAGCACAGATCATCTACATAGAAACTTGGATAAGAAAAGTTGGTTATATTCACAATGAGATAGTGTTTGATATTTACTGTAAACACAAGGAGACATGCTTTTATTTTACTTATCATCCATAGTGGCCCTTTTAGAAATTGGCATGAAAGATATCTTAGGTATCATGACATTCTAAAACTTTTATAAAAACTTTTAGACATTTTTCTCCCTTGAATGTCATCACACCAGTGAAACATTTGGAAATGATCACTCTCAAATTCTTCCCAAGGTTATGGCAACTTAAATACTATGAGTGCCTAAACCATTACATAGTGGCTACATAATCTTAGCAGCAAATGGAGCAAAACACACCTAGGAGTTGTGGCTATAAGGCAATAACGTTCATTATACAAATCACCAAAATCAATCTTTACAAAATTGCAATTTGACATCAGGCAACTCTCCACAAAGGGATGCAAACACTTTGAGCTTGAACAACTCCTTCCCTCTTAAGCAGTGCTTTTAGGAAGCTTTAAAAGAGAAAGAGTAATGTCTGGACTCTGCTCACCAAAATCTGAATCTCTTGGGAATGAGGACCAGCTATTTGTATTAAAGTTGAGAATCACTGTCTAACGAAGCTAGTGGAGCTGTGGGAATGATATTATTAGAGTTCAAAAACATTTATTATATTTTTCTTAACTTATAAAGGACATGTTTACACAAGCCAAATGATGTAAGTGTCAGAAGTCATAAATGAGACCCATGCTAAGAAAGTCCATGCACTGCAGTCTGTCCAAGAGAATCCTGGTGTATACCTGTTGGTTCAGTGTAATTATAAACAGCACTCCATTTTATTTCTAAAATATGAGAATTTATATGGTAACCTCATCCATGAAGCTCCCCAAGATAGCCAGCCACAAATCCTGGCTGGGCTCCTTATCTTGTTCTTATGTGATGGCAACTCGCTGTTCCTCAAGATGCTCTTCTCTATTCAATACTCATCATTGTAAACCACCTACAGTTGACTTCCTTTTGGCTACTTTTGCAACCCAATCTAGCCTTTTTCCTTTGTCCCTGTTTCAATTACTTTCCCTCAAATTTAGCATCTATCTCAGCTACACATTAGAAACTTCTTGAGAGTGGGTGGTGAGTCAGAGAGGGCTAAATATTCCAACACCCAGGCCACACTCCAGGCCAATAAAAGTAGAATCTCTGGGGGTGGAACTTATGCATCAGCAATTTTTAAAGGTCCATAAATAATTTGCATTATAGGCAAGATTGAGCACCAATGGTGTCCACAAGATTCCAATAAACAGCTAATGTTGCCAACCACTGAATTACATCCACTGCAGATGACAAGTGTCCCTGGATTCAGTCTATAATTCTGCTGATACCCAAACGTCTTTAGTTTCTCAACTTTATGCTAGAAAGAATCTCATATGTCAGATTCTGTAGGGAAAACATGCAAAGAGAGGCATTCACCTTACTTAAATAAATTGTACTAATACTAACCCAATAGATCATAGGCCAGAAACTAAATAAAATAGAAAATATCAGTGCAAATCCATCCGCAGAATGACTCCATCATTCCACACTATTTAAAGTCAGCAATAATCTCCCTCATTCCTTTTTTCTTATCCTCAACAAATCACCTTGTCCTAGGTTTTATCTTATACATACATATGACAACCCCAAAGTCATTATTTAGACAAACTAAGGCACTTTGGTCTTTAACTGTCATCAGTCAGTCCTTCTGTGTCTGTAAAGTTATGTTGGTGCATCACACAACAAAGCATGAAAACAAATGTCTCCATAAGATATGTTTGGGAGATAATGATGGTCACAGTAAAAAGCTAATCCGCCAGAGTTAGTAGTTTAGTTATTGTTACTAAGTGGCAAGGATAACATTTTAGAAACGGTACATATATTAATTGAGGGTTACTGATTATGTAGAACCCAAGCGGAGGAAAGGGACAAGACATGAAAAATCCAAAAACTAATTGAGCTCATTTTAATTATAGCTATAAAACACAACAAAGAAATGGCAGGATCTGGAATGGGAAATAGTTGAGACAATGTCTAGATATTCTTCAGATTTTCTTGCCCCAACTCAGAGAATTAAGACATCTGGAAACTGTATTTACTTCCCCTCATTGAAGCTCTCCACACATTTTAACAAGGCATTTAATGAAAACAGTGTGAACAAGTTGGAAAGCATACATGGCCTTAGGTCAGATAGACTTTATTTTGAGTCTAGGTTTGGATTACATGATTAAATTAATCAAACTCAAAGAGTCTTGGTTTTTTTATCTGGAAATAGGGGTTATATTGCTTATGTCACGGAAGATGCTAGAAGAATAAAGTAACTACCTATCGTCTGTGTGCCAATCAATGCAAACAACAATGACACAAGTAAACCACAGTTTTAGTACACAGAAGATACTCACAACTGACAGTTGAGTTTGGCTTTGCATAAATACCTGATTTGTGAGTTTGTCTTTAATCTCTGAGAAAAAAGTGCTCTGTCCGACTTCTGGACATCAGTGCAAATGCTACTTTCCTAAGCAGTATCCCATGTCTAGTATGTCTTGCTGCTTCTGTCATCACTGACTTTCTGTCCACTTCATATAAAAGTGAGTTTGAGTTTTATTCTTAAGTACAATCACACATATATTAATATTTCCATTTTAGACTTTCTGAAACATACATATATATAACCAAACTTTATAGAAAACCACATATTTGGAGTCAGTAGTGATTGTCAAACATTCCTTATTGAAGACATTGTTATAGGCTTGGTTCAGTTCCATTTGATTCAGCTCAACATAGGTTATTGTTTACTGCTCACCAAAAAGTTGTGCTTTCAAAAAGTTTATAGAATAAGTGCTCAGGACTGAGTCTGATTCTGCTGCAGAAAACTCTCCTGATTCAAAGATTAAGGATTTGAACTTGCAAAATTCCTCTTGCTTTTTGTACAAGTAGTCATCTTATGACTCTGAGTTTAGAATATCTCATCTTTGTGTGTGTGTGTGTGTGTGTGTGTGTGTGTGTGTGTGTGTGTGTGTGACGGAATTTTGCTGTTGTTGCCCAGGCTGGAGTGCAATGGCACGATCTCAGCTCATGGTAACCTCCCCCTCCCGGGTTCAAGCGGTTCTCCTGCCTCAGCCTCCCAAGTAGTTGGGATTACAGGCGCCTGCCACCATGCTCGGCTAATTTTTTTGTATTTTTAGTAGAGATGGGGTTTCACTATGTTGGCCAGGCTGGTCTCGAACTCCTGACCTCAGGCGATCCACCGGCCTCGGCCTCACAAAGTGCTGGGATTACAGACATGAGCCACCAAGCCCGGCCTAGGATATCTCATCTTTTTAAAGGAGAAATAAGAATATATTGGAAATTGTTAGACTTGAGAACACTAATGGGACATTTCCTTTAATATAATAACAAGGGAATTCAGGAGCATAAAAATGGGCAAGCTTTGGCCAGAAAATGCACAAAAGATAAATAAAGCCATAAAGCTAGTCTACAGTTTCCTAGAATAGTAAAAGAGGGAGTTACACTCTGCATACTAATGAAGCGAAGTGAGGACACCAATATTTAGACATCATCTCCCTACTCAGGATTAAGCAGAATTTATTCAAGTCCCAGTAGACACAGATATTACCCAGGGGCTCTTTTCTTTGCAATTTTTTTTTATTCTATATCCTTTCTTTGAACAACATCAACGAGATGTAGAGCAAGAACTTTGGTACATTATAAACCTATATTTGCAGTCCAGAGACATTTCTGTGTTTTAGGAATCTAGTTCAAGTTGTCTTCTTGGTCTTTGATATCTCAAATCTCTCATAATTCCTATCCTGACTCTTGAGAGTACCACGACAATATTTCCTGGTACAAAATTCTCAGTCATCTTGACTCCACCTTCTTCCTCGCCATGCATATAAGCGAGACTCCTAGATTTGATAATTCTCCCATAAAATTTCCTAAATCTGTCACATCCTCATTGTACCCACAGTTCCTGCTCTAGCTCAATACCTCATCTTCTATTTTCAAAATATCCTACCAGGTTCTTCAGTGGTTTCCTTACCTCTGGTTTCTCCCCCAACTAATCTACCTCTTACATGGCCACTAATTGATCTGTCAAAAATCCTAAAATTCTTATATGACATTCATTTTGATCCAAACAAATATAAATGGTTTCCTGAAGGCTTATATAATGCCATGTACTATCTGGCCTCAATTCACCTATCTAGGCCTCATCTCCCGTCCGACCAGAAAATCATGTGTATTTCAGTCATGGCATTTTCTTTTAAGTTCTTATATATATATATATATTTTTATTATACTTGAAGTTTTAAGGTACATGTACACAACGTGCAGGTTTGTTACATATGTATACATGTGCCATGTTGGTGTGCTGCACCCATTAACTCGTCATTTGACATTAGGTATATCTCCTAATGCTATCCCTCCCCCATCCCCCCACCCCACAACAGGCCCCAGTGTGTGATGTTCCCCTTCCTGTGTCCATGTGTTCTCATTGTTCAATTCCCACCTATGAGTGAGAACATGCGGTGTTTGGTTTTTTGTCCTTATGATAGTTTGCTGAGAATGATGGTTTCCAGCTTCATCCATGTCCCTACAAAAGACATGAACTCATCATTTTTTATGGCTGCATAGTATTCCATGGTGTATATGTGCCACATTTTCTTAATCCAGTCTATCATTGTTGGACATTTGGGTTGGTTCCAAGTCTTTGATATTGTGAATAGTGCAACAATAAATATACGTGTGCATGTGTCTTTATAGCAGCATGTTTTATAATCCTTTGGGTACATACCCAGTAATGGGATGGCTGGGTCAAATGGTATTTCTAGTACTAGATCCCTGAGGAATCGCCACACTGACTTCCACAATGGTTGAACTAGTTTACAGTCCCACCAACAGTGTAAAAGTGTTCCTATTTCTCCACATCCTCTCCAGCACCTGTTGTTTCCTGACTTTTTAATGATCGCCATTCTAACTGGTATGAGATGGTATCTCACTATGGTTTCGATTTGCATTTCTCTGATGGCCAGTGATGATAAGCATTTTTACATGTGTCTTTTGGCTGCATAAATGTCTTCTTTTGAGAAGTGTCTGTTCATATCCTTCGCCCACTTTTTGATGGGATTGTTTTTTTCTTGTAAATTTGTCTGAGTTCATTGTAGATTCTGGATATTAGCCCTTTGTCAGATGAGTAGGTTGTGAAAATTTTCTCCTATTTTGTAGGTTGCCTGTTCACTCTGATGATAGTTTCTTTTGCTGTGCAGAAGCTCTTTAGTTTAATTAGATCCCATTTGTCAATTTTGGCTTTTGTTGCCATTGCTTTTGGTGTTTTAGACATGAAGTCCTTGCCCATGCCTATGTCCTGAATGGTATTGCCTAAGTTTTCTTCTAGGCTTTTTATGGTTTTAGGTCTGACATTTAAGTCTTTAATCCATCTTGAATTAATTTTTGTATAAGGTGTAAGGAAGGGATCCAGTTTCAGCTTTCTACATATAGCTAGCCAGTTTTCCCAGCACCATTTATTAAATAGGGAATCCTTTCCTCATTTCTTGTTTTTGTCAGGTTTGTCAAAGATCAGATAGTTGTAGATATGCGGCATTATTTCTGAGGGCTCTGTTCTGTTCCATTGGTCTATATCTCTGTTTTGGTACCAGTACCATGCTGTTTTGGTTACTGTAGCCTTGTAGTATAGTTTGAAGTCAGGTAGCGTGATGCCTCCAGCTTTGTTCTTTTGGCTTAGGCTTGACTTGGCAATGCGGGCTCTTTTTTGGTTCCATATGAACTTTAAAGTAGTTTTTTCCAATTCTGTGAAGAAAGTCATTGGTAGCTTGATGGGGATGGCATTGAATCTATAAATTACCTTAGGCAGTATGGCCATTTTCACGATATTGATTCTTCCTACCCATGATCATGGAATGTTCTTCCATTTCTTTGTATCCTCTTTTATTTCATTGAGCAGTGGTTTGTAGTTCTCCTTGAAGAGGTCCTTCATGTTCCTTGTAAGTTGGATTCCTAGTTATTTTTTTTTCTTTGAAGCAATTGTGAATGGGAGTTCACTCATGATTTGGCTCTCTGTTTGTCTGTTATTGGTGTATAAGAATGCTTGTGAATTTTGCACATTGATTTTGTATCCTGAGACTTTGCTGAAGTTGCTTATCAGCTTAAGGAGATTTTGGGCTGAGATGATGGGGTTTTCTAGATATACAGTCATGCCATCTGCAAACAGGGACAATTTGACTTCCTCTTTTCCTAACTGAATACCCTTTATTTCCTTCTCCTGCTTGATTGCCCTGGCCAGAACTTGCAACACTATGTTGAATAGGAGTGGTGAGAGGGGGCATCCCTGTCTTGTGCCAGTTTTCAAAGGGAATGCTTCCAGTTTTTGCCCATTCAGTAGGATATTGGCTGTGGGTTTGTCATAAATAGCTCTTATTATTTTGAGATACGTCCCATCAATACCTAATTTATCGAGAGTTTTTAGCACGAAGGGTTGTTGAATTTTGTCAAAGGCCTTTTCTGCATCTATTGAGATAATCGTGGTTTTCGTCGTTGGTTCCATTTATATGCTGGATTGTGTTTATTGATTTGTGTATGTTGAACCAGCCTTGCATCCCAGGGATGAAGCCCACTTGATCATGGTGGATAAGCTTTTCGATGTGCTGCTGGATTTGGTTTGCCAGTATTTTATTGAGGATTTTTGCTTCGATGTTCATCAGTGATACTGGTCTAAAATTCCCTTTTTTTTGTTGTGTCTCTGCCAGGCTTTGGTATCAGGATAATGCTGGCCTCATAAAATGAGTTAAGGAGGATTCCCTCTTTTTCTATTGATTGGAATAGTTTCAGAAGGAATGGTACCAGCTCCTCCTTGTACCTCTGGTAGAATTCGGCTGTGAATCCATCTGGTCCTAGAATTTTTTTGGTTGGTAATAAGCTCTTATATTTGTAATGCATATTAGTCCTTTTAAAAATGCCCTTCACCTCCTACTTTTTGTGGTAAACACCATCATATTCTTAAAGACCCCTCCCAAATCTCGCATTCTTTATAAGGCCTTCTCTGTGAGTTGCAGGTGGTTTTTCAACCTGTCCCATATATTCCCATATAATCACCCCTATAAGGGAGCCATCACCCTACAAGATAATTATTTGTTTATGTGCCTGGCTCCTCCACTAAAGCTACTTCTGAATATGGGCTGCATCTTATCCATCTTTGTGCTTCTGACCTCCACCACCAACAAACAAGGCATAGCAGACAGCCTGGTATTGAGTAGCATGCCATACACATCTGTAGACTGAAAAGCAATTTAGCACGTGTACAAGTTGGGCTCTCCAAGAAGCAGACCTGGAGAGAGATCCTAGTACATAGGTATTTATTAAGGTGTGCCTTTGAGACCAGTACCTGTGGATGGGAAGAATAGAAATCAGGAGTGGGCAGAGGGAAAAGTTAAGCTGTGATGTAGGCCCAGTGACAAGCCACTGACACTTCTATGGGGAGCTGTAAATAGACCTTTGGCATTGTCCCAAGTTGGGCCAATATGGCCAGGCCTTTACAGGCTCACACATCATTTATTGCTTGTGGGCCACTCCAGGAAGGTGCATGACTTTGGGTAAGGAGGCTCTCTGGAGCTGAGGTAATCCCTGAAAGGACTAACAGCTGAAGATTGTCTGCTGAGAATACTGCCGAAGACTAAGGCAACAAATTCTTCCACATACAGGATCTGGATGGCACATCACAGTGCCCAAAATAAAGGCTGAACTTATTTAGTTATAATCTGATCAGTTAGGAATTGCAATCAGCTGAGAGTGAGAGAGTCTCCACAACAGTGATGCAAACTCATCACAGGCTTTTTCTTTTAACAGGAATTCCGGAGCAAGGAAGTTATTGGCATTCGTTTAGTGTACCACAATGCTAGGGCTGAGGCCTCCGGGATCCTCTGGGCCTTTTTCATGGTTGAAAAATGACAGTGGCAGCTTCATTCCTTGTGCCCAGTTCCAGAGAGGAGGAATGAGAAAGGAGCAAGAAGAAAAGGCTGACATCTATGGGAAGCCAAACTTTTTCAGGAATCCCCTGCTCAGGTTTGCTCAGGCTTGTTTGACATCTTACTGGTAAGAGCACCATTGCATGGCCAGCCCTAGATTCAAGGGAGGCTGAAAACTGTAATTTTACAGCTGAATACTACTGCCTCTCTCTCATATGCCCTCAATGCAGAATTCTTTCAGTGAAAAAATAAACAATGGAATCGGGTAGGCACTAGAAATTTCTGCTACATAAACTCAGGCTGAAGAATCCAGGTTCAAAAGAAAAATAAGTGACATGTAAAAAGATCAGATAACATGGAAACAGGGAAGATTCATAAGGTAATTGCTGTTGTGTAAAGTGACTATTTCTCACTTAGCACAGCAAAATTACGCGAATTAATAAAGTCTGCCAGAGGAGATTAAGGAAAGACAAAGGCATACAACCTGACACAACAGAGAACACGTTGCTGGGACAAAGAATCAAAGTCATCTTAAATTAAAGAGGGCACAGAAGAGAATAACAGAGAAAAGGCCAAAACAGGAATAAGACACCACCTGGCATTAAAACAAAACACCAAGCATAAAACACAAAGACTGCAACTACTAGTGAGCAGCAGTCCTTAGAAATTCAGGTGAGAAGTCAAAAAGGCAGCTGGTGGGGCTGCAAGTGTGTTAAAAGTTTGTTGCCAGTGTTCATAAAAGAAGTTAAAGGTTACATTTTGAAGATAGAAATAGGTTTCCCTAATGTGGGGAAAGAGGTGTAAAGAGGGCTGTGACACACAGGAGGAACTGCCTTCCCTCACCCGCTCTTTGGGGCACAGCTGTTCGGAGCAGGTCAGAAAAGCTAAGTTGACAAAAAACATCAGGAGGTGATAAAGTGAGAACCCTGGATCCAGAATGCAGCAAACAAAGAATGAACAAAAAGTTAAACAGATTTTAAGAATTAGATAAGAATTAAATCAAGGTATAGCCAAAGAGTGGCCAATATTAATTCTATGATTAAGAAGGAAAGGACACAGAGGCAATGTTGAATGAGCCACTGTGAATTTTAACTCCAGTCCTGAAGGAAGGCATGCGGGTGGGGGGTCTCCTTGAGAGGTCAATTCGTCCAGCCCTCCATGCAAATGCCAGTCCCTTGTGTTCTCAGAAAATGCTAGTAACTTTCCTACCACAACTGCCTTTGATAGTTTAATTATCCCTCATACTATAATTTTTATTTGAGGGAGGTAGGGCACATGCAATGGACAGGATATTGAATATTCTGCCAAGGGTGCTGAGTTTTAATTCTGGTTCTGCCACTAACCAATTTTACAGCCTTGGAAAAATAACATCCTCTCTTTTGACCGCATTTCCTCATCTGTAAAATGAAAGAGATGAACCATCTCTCTCTTGGTCCTCTTCATCCTCTACGTTGATGGATAATGAATGATGTGTTTTCCTCACAATAATCCTTCATAAGACAGATCTCAACAATAACTCACCAGAATGACACTTTACCTAATAATTGCTGTTTGAGAAATGGACAACCCTAGTTCCTTCAATCTTTAATTTTTCTGCATTTCTACCCATAAAATATAGTAGTAATGATATTCTAATAATGAAAACTGCCAAAAATACAGGATTTAACAACTTGTAAAGTTTATTTGTATAAATCTTCTCACTTGATAGTCACAATATTCAGATGATGGAGGTAGCAAAGATTTGTTAATTGTCCCCTGATGTCATTTCTTTTGTCTTAAATAGGTCCCTCATTTTTTATCTTGACCCATGGCCACCTGAAGTAAAGCCTATCTTTCCCAGCCCCCTACCACAGTTAGGCGTGACACCTCTCTACGTTCTGGCAGAAGCACCGTTACAATTTTCAGAAAGGCCCTTAAAGAGAGGCAGGCATGCATATCTTTCCTCCTTCCTTTTTCTTTCTGGCTGAAATGCAGACTGACACGTGGAGCTCATGTAGATCTTGAACCACAGGGTAGAACTGCACGTGGAGAATGGCGAAGCAAAAGGATAAAGAACCTTGATTCCTAGTGACTCCATGCATCTGCTTTAGCAGGCTCTGGAATTCTTTAATATGTGAAAAAAATAAATTTATGTTTGGTTTCAATAACTAATGCTTTTATTTACTTCACTTGCAGCCCAAATAAATTCTAACTGACACAATTATAGAAATTATTACTTTTATTTTACAGATTTAATAATTTGCTGAAAATTTCAATGGGGCTAAAATTTGAACATAGGGCACTTCTGACACCTAAGCCCAACACACTTCCTACTTCTCTCTAAATAGATAATAGTAACCATTGGCAGGTGTAAGCTGAAAGACAAACCCTAATGGAACATCCATCAGTGATTAGAACATCGCAGGAGTAGCTCATGTTGTCCTCCACATAGAAAAACATTCCTATGACAAATTAGAGTGAACGACCGTCTCTTTAGAATTGAGTAGATATTGGACACCACCTCTGTAAAGGACTCATATTCTCCCCAAAGTATCTAAGTAAGAACTAGGAGGAAATCAGAATGCAGTATCAGAAATGTTAGGCAAATGATCAAAAAGTACCACGTTACCAAGGTTGCTGTGAGGTGCATTTCAAAGCCTTTAAGAAATAAGCCAAGACTTCAAGGGGAATTTTTTAGGAAATAGAAAAAGAAGTCCTTATTTCTCCTCCCACACCCCATTCTCTCAACCCCTCCATATCAGCTCTAGTTCTTTTGGTTTTTGTCTGTTTTCATTTTTTTAAACACCTGGACAAATCTTATCACTTCCAGAAAATGAAGGGATGGGGAACTCAACCTTGCTTCTCACTGTGCTGAGTGAGCCCCCAGACTCCACATTGTTGGCTTAGCTTGTAGTGTTGTGCTCTGACAGCCCTTAGCAGCTGAAGCATAAAGAATAGAAATAATATTTCAGGATTTTATTAGGACTATTAATTTTTTTCTCTTGTAGATAAAACTCTTCAATATTTCTAACAGTAATACTATTATCTTAGTATATGAATGGCACCTATGATGCTCAAAACAGCTGTGATAGCCCATTCACTATGAACAGCAGAGATGGCTGAAGCCCATTAGTTAGCTCAGCTTTTCATAACTTAAGAAAAACCTGCCAGCCATGTATCCCTCACTTCTACATATTTTATAATAATGGAACATTTTTAGATAAAATCATAAATAAAAGATGCTGCTGAGTTTTTGAACAATGCATTATATGTTTTGTATTTTATTTTGACTTTATTTTTTCACAGCACAATCATAACTACATAGATGATTACAGTTGTATGTTCGGAGAAAAAGAGGAGAGAGAAGACTAAGACTCATAGGAAAGAATCCTGCTTTTATTAATCATTCATACATATTTTCATTTATGTTTTGAAAGCCAACAACATACCAGGCTGTCTGTTTGGCACTGTAAGTACCACAAAAGCATAATACAATAGGCCTTTCTCTCATGGGGCCTGTAGCTTGAAGGTGAATACAGATAATTAATAATTAAAGAGTAAAATATGCCATTGTCTACAACATGAGACATACAAGGGAACATATTTAGGGTTCCTTAATTTTGTTAAGAAGGAAGGAAGAGCAACATTTTGTTGTGGGTAGATAGGGAAGGTTCCTCAAGGAAATGACAGCTAAGCTATGACTTGGGGATGATAAAAAGAGGGACCTCAGAAGAACACACAGCATGGGCAACTTTCCAGGAGCCTCTTAGTGGAATCACAACAGGATACAATCCTAGGGCTCACATGGCTGCCTTACCCAAAACAGGCAAAACACTTCCACTTATTAATAATTTGTTTATCCACTCAGTTATGAAATATTCACTCAGCATCTAATTTTTGCCACACACTGTGCTAAAATTTTAGAGTTAAAAGGATGACTAAGATATGGTTCCTACCCTCAAGGAGCAACCGGTCTTGTCGACAGAAGCCATACTTACACAGATTTACGATATGAGGGCTTTAGCTGCTAATAATCAGGCACAAAGAGGGCACAATGTGGTCATTAAAAGACAAGTGGTTACAATTTTGAGGTGAGAGGACAAGAAGTTAGTGGGTGAGGGGATCAAAGAACAGGGAAAGGAAGTCAAGGAGAAAAGTCCAATAAACTCTGCATGAACAAGTACACAGCAGGGCTACACCACTTCTTTCTCCCCTTCTCCTTCCTCCTTTTCTTTTCTCCCCCTCCTCTTCCCCTCCTTCTTTTATAAACAGCCAACTTCCAAACTTCATTAGTTTTGTTGGGACATATTGTTCCCCCGAAACCAGCTTCTTTTAGATGTTCTGAGAAAGGATGCTAATTAATGATGGTGCTACCAGAAGGTTTCTATTTGGAATTCATTAGACTCAGGATAGCAGATAGCACACTAAGCCACATTAGAGACGCACATAGAGCCACTGTCTGGTGGGGGAGTGGATAGTAAGATTACTCAGCCTGAAGAAGAGAAGGCTGGAAGGTAATTCAATAATTGTCTTCTAGGTGAACACAAGCTTTTGTTGAACATCCTCCATGAAGAGGTCCTACTGATGTTTAGTGTGATAAGGGGTGGGGAAAGACAATAGTTTGGGAAACCAGTTATTAAGCCACTTTAGTAGTCCATGGAGAAAGTTCCAAGAGTTCAGAGTAGGGGGAAAAGAGATATGAAGGAATGAATGAAGAAAACACATTGCAGAGGTATAAAGTAATCCCTGGATGAAATAAGAAGGGTAAAGGAGAAAGAACTAGAAACAGAAAAACATTTATGACTATCTCTTCCAAGCTGATGGTGGCCAACGGTCTTACAATTCCATCAACTGAAGATGGAACAGGAGAATGACTTCCTGTGCCCTGGAAGGTAATCTTGGTTAAAAGATAAGAATCAGTGGGATTTGCCCTGATAAGAAGAGTTGCTGGAAATTGAAATAAGATATTCTAAGGATGACTGAGGAGTCTTCTTGGAGATCTTTAAGAATAGGGCTGTCTTATCAGATTTCAGCACCGAGAATGCTCTTCAGAATGCTGAAAACAGCTAGCTGAGCAGAGTTGCTGACATCTTAACATCTTTTTCCTCAGCTTTTTATGCTCACACCCTGGAAGCATGCGCTATCCTGCTTCATTGGGGAATGAAGTGTATCAACATTTTCTGTGGGTCCAGATAGAGCAGGAAGTAGGAGAACAGTGGGTGAACTAGTCTCAAAATAACATACCCTCATTTCTCTCAACAGTAATATCTTCAGTCTGACCGATACCAACTTCGGTTTTCTTGTGGAAAAAATAAGGATGTGGTAAGTTCAGACCCTTAACATTCGAGAAAACCAAACATAATGAGCTACTGGTAATCTTCTAGATATAAATCCACCTATTACCTCTGGAACTATGACTGACTTTACCTTGTACCTGAAATTATCTTCTCTTTTTCATTGACCAGCTCCTCCTGGGCATTCAGAATCCAGCAGGAACACTATCGCCTCTATGAACCCCATACCAGCCCAGGCTAAGTAAGATGCTGTGGTAGATTACATTTTCCAAAGATGGCTACACCAAGATATATCCTGCCCCACATATCCTTCTTATACCATGACACTGACACGTCTCCATCAAGAGATGAGATCCTTGTTCCCCTACCTTGACCTGGGTGGACCTTTGTAACTGCCTCAAACAACAGTGTGACAGAAGTGCATGACCTCTCAGATGTATTTGTCGGGGTTTTCCAGAGAAACAGAATCAATAGGATGTATGCGTGTGTATGCATGTGTGTGCGTGTGTGTGTGTGTAGAGAGAGAGAGAGAAACAGAGAGAAAGAAGGAGAGAGAGAGAGATTTATTATAAGGAATTAGCTCACATGATTATGGAGACTGGCAGTTCACAAGATTTGCAAGGGTGAGTCAGTGAAGCTAGAGACCCAGGAGAGCCAATGGTATAGGTTCAGTCTGACGACCAGCTGGTCCAAGAACCAGGAGGACTCAATGTTTCAGTTCAAGTCCAAAGGCAGGATAAAGCTTATGTCCCAGTTTGAAGGCAGTTAGGCAGGAGAAATTCTCTTTTACCTGGGTGAGGGTCAGCCTGTTTGTTCTACTCAGAACTTCAGCTGTTGGATAAGGTCCACCCACTTTAGGAAGGGCAGTCTGCTTTACTCAGTCTACCAACTTAAATGTTAATCTCATCCAAAAATACTCTTCTAGAAATAATCAGTCACCCTGTGACCTAGTCAAGTTGACACATAAAATTGAACATCACGTAAGACTAAGTATAAAAAGCAGTATGACTTCTGTCTGGTTCTCTCTGTCTCTCTCTTTATCTCTCGGGATAATTGACTTGGGAACCCAAACACCATGTTGTGAGGAAGTTCAGGCCATATGAAAAGGCCATGTCAAGATATTCTGGGAAACACCTTTAGCTAGGCCCCCAGTTAATATGTCACACATGTGAGTGAATGACCCTTCCAATAATTTCGTCCCTCAGCCTTCAAATTTTCTAGCAAAGACTCCAGATATCATGTAGACAAACTAACCTTTATGTGCCCTGTCTTAATTCTTCACCCACAGAAAATGTGAGCAATAATACATGATTTTTCTTGCTTCAGGCCGCTAAGGTTTGAGGTAAAGTTTTGCACGGTAATAGAAAATAAATAGTGATACCATCTTACATGGTCCTACATATCAACTTTTAATGAAAAGATAGCTCTTATCACACTATGTCATCATTCCATTTACTTTAACTATTGCAAGATTGGGAATTCTCAGATGGCTAGGACCATGCCATCTCAACCTTTTCTCTTTGTTTTCCCAGTCCCAAGGGTGAACAGTGCTTTCTGGAGTTGCTCTTATTTGCCTTTTCACATCCTTAATTCCTAGTGAATGATTCTTTATATTAAATTATCTCTCTTAAAATAATGTGTGGTTTCTTTCTTCTGACTAGACCCTGATTGATATGGTGGGGATGGAAATTATTACTGTGGCAAAGCTGGGCTCTGAGATTTGGCCAGAGAAACCTGAATTACTTCCCTCCCTCTTCTTAGATTTGATTACTTATCTGAATATTCTGATCTTTGAGATCAAGCTCTACCCCACTGGCTCTATAACTAGATCTTGAGACCACTCTGAGGCATCTGGTGTTCTTGAGACTTTATTTAGAGAAGATAAAATTCTGTCGTATGAGAAACACTTCGTTTAGCACATCTTTTTGCCTAGTTCATGTTCACAAATATCTATGAAACCCTGACTTCCAGGATATGTGCTGAAAATTCAGTAATGACTAATGCCCAGTCCCTGCCCCTGAGAAGTCCACTCTCTAGAAGGATGACTGACCCATAAATGGACCTTATCACTCTCACAGTGTGATAAGAGATGCATTGAGCCCCAGGACAGCGGGAAAGTGGTAGTACATCCTGTGTACCTTCTCCCTGGCTCCTTGGCTTCCTCTTTCACTACCTGTCCTCTTGTCTCCTTTCTCAGGCCATTCCTGAGAGAACAGCTGTGGGAAGAGGAGTGGAAAACTAGATAACCTTCCCCTCCACCTCCAAATAATTTTTGTCTATCTATGATTCAACCTCCACAGTAAAGTGTTTGTTCAATGTGGAATGTGCCATTTGAACATTTCATCTCAATTTTAAAACTATTTCAGTGCCTTGGGGTCTGAGATTTACTTATTCCTTCATTCAGTTGTTTCTTTTCTTTTTTTTTTTTGAGACGGAATTTCGCTCTGTCGCCCAGGCTGGAGTGCAGTGGCGCAATCTCGGCTCACTGCAAGCTCCGCCTCCCGGGTTCACGCCATTCTCCTGCCTCAGCCCCCCGAGTAGCTGAGACTACAGGCGCCCTCCACCACGCCCAGCTAATTTTTTGTATTTTCAGTAGAGACGGGGTTGCACCATGTTAGCCAGGATGGTTTCAATCTCCTGACCTTATGATTCGCCCGCCTCGGCCTCCCAAAGTGCTGGGATTACAGGCGTGAGCCACCGCGCCTGGCCTCAGTTGTTTCTTTGACAAATATTTAGTGAGCACCTACCACATACCAGGCACTGGGCCAAACACGAGGAATAAAAATGGGGAATGAGATACAGCCCAGGCCTGAAAACTCTCTCTGTTGGTTGTATGACCCTGGTAAAATCACAAGGTCTCTAAGTTTTGGTTTCTTTACTAGAAATGAAGGTAACACCACTGACTTCACAACTTTGCTGTAGAGATTAAATGAATTTATGTATCTGAACATTCTGCAGATAAATTGGGCTGAATTTAAAATAAAATGATGCTACTTCATATTCATTGTTATATTTAATATATTCACTTCATTTAAAAACCTGTTTCACTGAAATCATTTAATTACAACTTCATGGTAAAAAAATGAAATTTAAACATTCACATCTGGAGTTCCTTGTGACAATGGGAAACGTTGGAAAAAACTGTGGCTTAAAGTCAAATTAAACATTAAAAAAGGAAAATCACGTGTATATAATTGATGAATATTTCTCACATACCTATCTACATCTCAGACCCCAAATCTCCACAGAATGTAAGATCTCTACACTGACATTTAAAGCCTTTGCAATCTGGCCTTGACTAAGGAGATTTGATAACATGATACCCTTTAATTGTCACAATAAATCTATGAAATAGGCAATACTCCTGTTGTACAAACCAGAGATCTGTAGGCTGAGATACTGAGCAACTTCCCTAGCCCCACTCAATGTGTAAGTAAAATATCTGGGATTTCATCTTTAAATTTTAAACTCTGAAATCCATGAGTTTTCTTTATAGCATGAGGCATTTGTCACAGAAGGCACTAAATAGATACATTATCACTTAAAAAAAAAAGACTAAATCTTTCAACCATTGTGGAAGTCAGTGTGGCGATTCCTCAGGGATCTAGAACTAGAAATTCCATTTGACCCAGCCATCCCATTACTGGGTATATACTCAAAGGATTATAAAACAAAACATGCTGCTATAAAGACACATGCACATGTATGTTTATTGTGGCACTGTTCACAATAGCAAAGACTTGGAACCAACCCAAATGTCCAACAATGATAGACTGGATTAAGAAAATGTGGCACATATACACCATGGAATACTATGCAGCCATAAAAAATGATGAGTTCATGTCCTTTGTAGGGACATGGATGAAGCTGGAAACCATCATTCTCAGCAAACTATCGCAAGGACAAAAAACCAAACACCGCATGTTCTCACTCATAGGTGGGAATTGAACAATGTGAACACATGGACACAAGAAGGGGAACATCACACACCCAGGCCTGTCCTGGGGTGGGGGGAGGGGGGAGGGATAGCATTAGGAGATATACCTAATGTTAAATGACGAGTGAATGGGTGCAGCAGCACACCAACATGGCACATGTATACATATGTAACAAACCTGCATGTTGTGCACATGTACCCTAAAACTTAAAGTATAATAAAAAAAAGACTAAATCTTTGGGGTGTTGTACAAAGACAATCTGTTTAAGAAACCAATTTGCCATTTGTCATTAGAAATTTCATAGGGCTTTTACAAACTTAAACAGTTTCTTAGGTTTTTGTTGGTTGGAATTTTCATTGTAAATACTCAGTGCAGTTAAAATAGAAATGAGCCATCTTTCTAGAGGTAAAGAAGTTCCCATATTTACCAATAACAAAAACACATAATATTTATCTAGTTTATAAAAAAACTACAAGGTCAGGTGTGGTGGCACACGCCTGTAGTCCCAGCTACTCAGAAGACTGAGGCACGAGAATCGCTTGAACCCAGGAGGCGGAGGTTACAGTGAGCCGAGATGGCACCCCTGCACTCCAGTCTGGGCAACAGAGCAAGACTCGGTCTCAAAATAAATAAATAAATAAATAAATAAATAAATAAATAAATAAATACGAATACAACCAAATGAAAGGCATGCTCTTTATTTTTTGTGAGAATGTTTTATTATTATGAGACATTCTTTTTCTCGGCCGGGCGTGGTGGCTCACGCCTGTAATCCCAGCACTTTGGGAAGCCGAGGCAGGCAGATCACGAGGTCAGGAGATCGAGACCATCCTGGCTAACACGGTGAAACCCCATCTCTACTAAAAATAGAAAAGATTAGCCAGATGTGGTGGCGGGCGCCTGTAGTCCCAGCTACTCGGGAGGGTGAGGCAGGAGAATGGCGTGAACCCGGGAGGCGGAGCTTGCAGTGAGCCAAGATCGCACCATTGCACTCCAGCCTGGGCGACAGAGCAAGACTCCGTCTCAAAAAAAAAAAAAAAGAAAGAAAGAAAGAGACATTCTTTTTCTCTGTTTCATTGAGTGTGTGCACATGTGTGTGTGTTATCACCAATTTTGCTAAAGGTTAATCTATGTAGTAACTGACAAAAGGTGGCAGGGCCTAATGAAGTGTGAGTACATCACTAACCAGAAGACCTGCTAGGAATCACACAGCAAATGCTCCCTAAATCACAGTGAGTACCATGTAGAAGATGCACCAGCACCAGCACAGGGAATTATCTATTTTTCCAAAACCATTCTAGTGCTATTTTCCCCAAGGCTAAAAATGAGTTGATTCTGCTTGCTGTTTGTAGTTTCTTTTCTCTAACAATCTACAGCAAATAATGTACTTTTTTTTTTTTCTTGACACCAAACCGGCATCCTTCTCCCTTGCCTTCCTCTGCTTTAGGAGTTTCAAAGCTAATGATTAGTTTTCCATCCTCTTTTGCATCTAGTAGTAACCAGTGACACACTGGCCATTAAATGGCCATTGAGATATAAGCAGAAATCAACTGAGCAGTGTTGTAGGGACAAAATTTTGTCCTTTAAAAAAGGATTCCAGACATGGATGATACAGCCTTCTGCCCGTTACAATTTTTCCTGCCTAAAATGTCGATACATTTGGCAATTCTGTCAAATTCTGTGTCCAGGGGGCAACAACCATGAACACAAAAATGCAGAAAGCTCTCTAGGGAGGGGAGAAAAAAGGTAAGAAAGAATCTGGGCTCCTGGTGGTGATATGGAGCAGCTGACGCAAACCAGAAACTTCTTGTTACATGTGAAAAACCCTATTTGTTTAAGATCCTCTAGCCTAGTTTTCTGATACTCGTAGCTGAAAATATTCTTAGCGGGTACAGGGATGCAATGTTGATTGCTATGAAGCCTATGACATAATGGATGATGATTATAATAAAAATGAGTCAAGAATAGTATTTTGAATAAAAAGATATCACTAATAATATAAGTAATAATTGTAACAGTATAAAGCTCCACAATACATAGTAATGAAAAAAATATGACTATAATAGCTGAGAATTAATAGGCCACTGGCTACTATTATGATAATGACTGTAGGAGTAAATTGAAAACAGGTTAAAAGGACAATGACTGCTGAGGTTGGGGACACATATACAAAATGGACATGCAACTGGTCTTTAAATGAAACATTTATTACACAGAGGTATGTCACAAAATAGGACACCCATATACCCAGCAAATATATAAAACTGTCCATCTTCTTATTCATAAAAGGTATGCAGATTAAAATCCCATTGAGACACTACTACATATTCACCAGGATGGCTAAGATGAAAAAGACAGGCAATATAAAATGTTGGGGAAGATGTGGAGCAATCAGAACTCCTACATGCTACTGCTGAGAGTGCATATTGGTACAAACCTTGTAGAAAACTGTTTGAAAATCTCTACTAAAGCTAAACATAGTCTCGCCTATCACATTCCTAGGTATTTATCCAAAAGAAATGTATCCATATGCTCATTGAAATGATCTACAAGAATGTTTATAGCAGAATAATTCTTAATAGCCCTAAACTGGAAGCAACCCCTATGTTCATCAGCAGTAGGATAGATAAATCAATTGTGGTATTAGCCATACAATGGAACAGCATACAGCAATGATAATGAACGAATGACTACATGCAATGCCATGAATCTCGCAAATATAGTGTTAGATGAAAGAAGCCAGACACTAAAGAGCACATGCGGTATGATATATATTTGCATAAAAGTCAAAGATAATAAAAAATAATCTGCATTGATAGGAGTCAGAAGAGTGGTTACTCCTGGCACAGAATGAGGGGCAGTAAACAGAAGAGGCAAAAGAGGAATTTTGGAAGCGCTGTTGATGTTCTGTTTCTTAATCTGGATGCTGGTTTTACAGGTGTGTTCATTTTCTGGAAATTTATTTAGCTATACAGTTAGGATTTATAAAATAAAAATAATTAATCTGAAAAATTTATCAGAGGACATTCCTCCAAAGAAAGACTTGGGCAAAATCTCATGCTGATTAGATGATTCAAATAACAAGAAGACATTCTTAACCCGTTTGCTATAAGGAAATAAGATATTCCATTAAGAATAGATATGCTACAACTAGATGGGGTATGCGCTTATCTCTATATACAGACCTTCCAAACAATCAAATACAGCAAGAAGGAACCTCATTCACTCATGCAATGAAATATTTAGTGCCAATCAGGTGCCAGGCCTTGTTCTAGGTTCTGGAGATTCAATGACAAAGGTCTCACCCTCATGACACTTACCTTGCCCTACCCTTAGTATTTGAATAAATAACTTCTAAGAAATTGATTTGTTTAGTTTGGAACATTCCATTGAAAGTACAACTGACGCTGTCTCCTATTGCATTGATATCGTGCGTCTGTTTCATTTGGTAAGCCTACTAACTTAACTATTAGTGAACTGAATCTAAAAGTGCATAAGGGTGTGTGTGTGTGCGTGCTAGAAAGAGACATACTCAGAGTGTTTGTTAGTTTGTCAGTGAGTAAAAATCACATGGAGTGTATGAGATTGTCTAAGAGACAAAACTGTGATTAAAGTGAATGAAATGAGCATGGAACTCTATGGGAGATATATGAATAAGGATATACATAACAAGGCTGAAATCATGCAACTAATGTAAGTGTGTTTCCATTAATGACTTTTTCCCTAAGCTTCTCTATCCTTCCCCAAAATCTCAACACGTAAAAGAAGCCAGCTGATTTATTCGACATTAACATACTCTATCTTCTATGATAAATTAATGGGAAAATGCTGGCACATAAGCAATCTAATTCAGGTTTAAGGCTGTATCAGGGTTATTCTTTATTCAAAGGATTAAACCCTCAGAAACTGTCCCCCACCCCTCCTGAAACATCCCTTCCTCTCCCCACTGAGTGCTATTGAACACCATCTGTGCTAAAAAGTTTCCATAATTCAAAGCCCATCGGCCCCCTATGATGACTACAGACTCCCCTTCTCAAAAGGTCTTTTAAAAATAGAAGAGATATTATCTTCTGGGTGTATGGCTTAGGCAGAGCTCTAGCCAAGAAGATGATGACCCCTTTATAAGGTCCTACTAAGAACCATTTGTCATTAGAATTTTCAAGCTTTGGAGATTGGGAATTGGATTCCCCTGTTGAGGTCAGACCTTTGCACACAGCATAATTTTCCCTTTCTAGACAGTGTTATTCTCTACCTTATATACCTGGCAGACTCATTACCAAAGATCTACTTCAAGTAATATCTTCTCTATAAAAATTTCCTGGGCTCCTCTTCCCAATGTAAAGTTGAATATGCTTTCCCCTGAATCCCCTACCCAAACCTTTAAAAAAACATTGATTCATACATCTCTGTGTCCCTTTTAGAATAGGAGCTTCATGAGGACAGGGATCATAACTGTTCATTCTCATATCTCATGACAAAGACGGTCCATGGCATATAGTATATATATATATACATATTTTTTTTTTTTGAGACGGAGTTTTACTCTGTTGCCCAGGCTGCAGTGCAGTGGCTCACTGCAAGCTCCGCCTCCCGGGTTCACGCCATTCTCCTGCCTCACCCTCCAAAGTAGCTGGGACTACAGGCGCCCACGACCACGCCCGGCTAATTTTTTGTGTTTTTAGTAGAGACGGGTTTTCACCATGTTAGCCAGGATGATCTCGATCTCCTGAGCTCGTGATACGCCCGCCCGACCTCCCAAAGTGCTGGGATTACAGGCGTGAGCCACCACCCCCGGCGGCATATGGTAGATATTTAACAACTATTTATTGAATGAATGTCAGTGACCAGGTGATGCTATCAAAATTGAAAATGATGACTTTCCCCAAATCACAATGAAGTGGGAGCTGAAGTGAAGCCATCCAACTGCCTTTTTAAAGATGAGGTACATTCTCCTGGCCAGATCCCTTGTGAAAACTCATGCCCTGTCTGAGACTCAGAGGGCTTCTTTAAAAGCTTTCTGTAGGAGAGATGAGCAGAGACTTGAATGTATTCAAAAGAGCTCCTGGGAATTTTACCTCTAACTCTGATCAGGGAGATAAAGAAAAAGTAGAAGGCAGATTTGGGGTTAAATTGAAGAGAAAAATAAACTTATGGAATGCATGTACATTGCAAACATTAAGTACCATTCTTTAGATAAGAGAGCTGAGAAATAGGTTGCTTTGAACACAAGATGCGTTATAATAGATTTTTCTTTGCTTAGCCAACAAGTTGGCCCATTGTTAGGAAGATGTTTTTGAAGTATAACAGCTTAATTTCTAGGTTGCACTCTAAGAAAAAAGTAGCCTCTGCCATCTGGGAGCTGACTTAGTGCTATCAGCCTGGCCTTGTACTGCTTGAAATTGGCCCGGTACTCACAGCTGAGCTTTAGTGTTTTCTGTGAAACAAAGAAAATGTTCACAGAACATCAACATAAGGCAAGGACACTCCATCCCCATGATGAAGAAAGACAAAAACCAGACTGTTCCACAATCATGCTGGAGCCAGACAAAAACCTGAACGCTGTCCAAAACACAACAATAACCAAACATCTCCCTATCCTGGTTAAAATGAGTGATTGCTGCTTCTTTACCAATTATACCTTTAGCTTTAGCCTTGGCCTATTCTCCCCTTCTTCTAGATAAGATTTATTAAGGTACTCAATCATAGAATTGTCCTGGCCTCTCAACAACTTCTAATCCAGAATAAAGCTGTCCTTTGTTAAACCTTCCCTAAACCACTAACTCAAATTCTGTAAGTTCTTTCCTAAACTCTTTGACTAAGATATTTCACAGTTCCCCATGAGGTGTATTCTCCCCGTGGTAGTGAGCAATAAACCCAACTTGTTCAATTATAGGTGTGTTCTTGGTGGTCTTTGGCTGGAAGGTATTGACAATTCTCTAATATTATTATTCACTAAACTACAATCTGGCTTCTCCAGGATGCCAGAGTTTAACATTAAGGTATTAAACTCTTTTGCTTAAACTCCACAAGTCTGTCGTATTATTATATTTTGTTGTTATTCTATACCACCTCAGTTAAATAAAATATTTCAGAAATCTCCAGAGAAAATGGCAGAATGAATCGTTTTTAAGAACTGAGAAAAAGGGAAAAAACAATTGGAGCTTCTATTTCCTTACTCCCCTTACGTAAGAGAGGGAAACAGCCTTCCGCAGTTGTGGTGAAGTGGTCAAATTTATTCCATGAAAGCAATATATTTTCTAACATCCTTAACTCATCACCATAATTTCTACCAGTTCTCTGCACACAAAGATTTCTCCATGGAGCTGTCACAATATTTTTCTTCCTACTAAGAATACCAGAGTGCTTTTTCTTCTCAAGTTCTTCTTGTGTTGTATAATGTGACAGGTTATTAAATCAATTTCTCTTCCTCTCTTTAAATAAGGCACAGCACCAAGTACAGCGATCCTTCAGAATTAACACTGACAACCTAGAGATGCTTCAATTCATTCTTCAGTTCTAATACACACACACACACACACACACACAACCTACATCTCTCTCACAAACTCACACATACTGTATAATATGTTAATAAGTTATGGTTTAATTATATTAGTATTTTATATGTGTCATATTATATTATGTAAATAATTAATAAACTTCTTAACATAAAGATAATTTTGGAAGAAAGATACAAATGCAATTAGAATCATTTAAGTGAGCTCAACTCATGCCAAGCCAAGGAAGTGTTCATTGTATGACTGAGGCAAGAGTCATTGAGTCTAATATTAAACTATAAAGATTTAAAATATTGTTTAAAGAACTGCCTTATTTGCATTTCTTGTAGTAACACATTGGTATGATCGTTCCAGATAGGCAGTTGGGTAATTTGTAAAGCTTACCCAATATGAATATCCTTTAACCCAGCACTTCCTAACAATCATATTTCACTTAAATATATAAATGATAATATTGATGCCTAACAGCTATATAATGGTGTTAGACACTATTGTGCATTAAATTCTTATAGCAACTCTACAATGTAAGTACTTTTATTGTTCTCATTATTTATTAGCTTGGTACAAAAGTAATTGCAGTTCTGCTCTATTTTTTTTTTTTTTTTGAGACGGAGTCTCGCTCTGTTGCCCAGGCTGCAGTGGCACGATCTCAGCTCACTGCAAGCTCTGCCTCCCGAGTTCACACCATTCTCCTGCCTCAGCCTCCTGAGGAGCTGGGACTACAGGCACCCGCCACCACACCTGGCTAATTTTTTTGTATTTTTAATAGAGATGGGGTTTCACCATGTTAGCCAGGATGGTCTCGATCTCCTGACCTCATGATCCGTCTGACTCGGGCTCCCAAAGTGCTGGGATTACAGGCGTGAGCCACCATGCCAGGCCAGTTCTGCTCTACTTTCAATGGCAAAAACCACAATTATTTTTGCACCAACCTAAATAGATGAGAAAATGGAGGTAATTTACTTCTACAAGAACTTATAGCCTATAAATAATAGAGCTGGAACTCAAAGTATAGACAGTCTGTGACTGAAGTTACACTGTACCAGTACTCCATATTGTCTCTCAACATTGGAAGCATGTTCATGGTAGAATTATTGATGCAACCTCAATCTGGAAACAACCTGCCCCTCCCCCAGTGTTACCCATCATCATTCACCCAATTGCTCATCCCTCTGGAATGATTCTTGACTCCTCATTTTCTCTCATACCTTACTTTCAATTCATTAGCAAAGTCTATGGGGTGTGCTTTTACAATTCAGCTCATTTTCAACCACTGTTATCTTCTCCATGGCTATTACCTGATCCAAACTACCAGTGCTTTCACCTGGACAAATGCAGTAGCCTCCTGAGTCATCTCCAACATGCACTTTTGTCTCTCCACACGATCTATCACAAGCAGTTGTACTTTCATCCTCCAATGGCCTCCCATTACATATGGAATAAAACCCCAAACACTTACCATTGCCTAAAAAGCCCTACATAATTTGAACCATAGCTGCCTCTATGAGATCATTTTCTCTCACTCTTGCTTTCTTATACCAGTGCCTCATAACTTCCCTGCCTCCTTGCTGCCCTTCTTTATTATTGTGGTAAGAACACTTGAGATCTACCCTCTTCACAAAATTGTAAATGCACAATACAGTATTGTTAACTGTAGGCATGATGTTGCACAGAAGATCTCTACAACTTTTTCATCTTGCATAACTGAAACTTTATTCCTTAAATAGGCTAAGCACATGCCCGTGTCATGGCCTTTGCCCTTTATTCTGTTGGAATACTCTGTCCTTATATACAAATGGCTCACTGCTTACTCATTCAGATTTCTGTGCAGATATTCCTCAGATAAGTTTTTCTTGGTCATAATTTTTAAACAAGCCCCCCTATCATTCACTACCCCATTTCCTGCTTTATTTTTGTTTCACTTACCATTGTTTACCAATGTGTTACACATTTATTGTGTATTTTCTATTCTACCCACTAGCACAAAAGCTGGGACCATGTATTGTTCCCTTCTGTATCCTCAGCCCTTAGAAAAGTGCCTGGTAAATAATAGGAATTCAATAAATGTTTACTGAATGAGTTAAAGAATGAATCACTTATGTGTGCACCACTATGGACTGGTAGGTAAATCACGGTTCATCTACAGGATGAACTGCTTCTGGCCATTGAATTGCAGGAAATATTTATTAGAGTTGTAAAATGTAATTGGGAAAATCTCAAGTAGTAGATGGAGAGTGGACAAGGAAATGACCAAATGTCAGAGATGGAGATGCTTGTTTAGAAGTAGGTGTCTCCCACAGCAATGGGTACACTAGTCTCTAGGAAGGGGGCAGAACTAGGCATGGTGGGCACCAGCAGGAGAGGACTCATAGTGTGACCACAGGATCTGAAATCTGAAGTCAGAGTGTTTCAGAGAGCAGGTTCCGCTCATATTGACTATATGATCTTGGAAACTGATATGGTTTGGCTCTGTGTCCCCACCCAAATCTCATCTTGAATGGTACTCCCATAATTCCCACGTGTTGTGGGAGGGACCTGGTGGGAGATAAATGAATCATGGGGGCAGTTTCCTCCATACTGTTCTCACGGTGGTGAACATGTCTCACAAGATCTGATGGTTTTATCAGGGGTTTCCGCTTTTGCATATTCCTTTCCTCTCTTTGCCTGCTGCTATCCATGTAAGATGTGACTTGTTCCTCCTTGCCTTCTCCCACAATTTTGAGGCTTCCCTAGCCACATGGAACTGTAAGTCCAATTAAATCTCTCTCTTTTGTAAATTGCCCAGTCTCTGGTATGTCTTTATCAGCAGTGTGAAAGTGAAATAATATAGTAAATTTGTACCAAGAGTGGAGTGTTGCTGAAAAGATACCCAAAAATATGGAAGCAACTTTGGAACTGGGTAACAGGCAGAGGTTGGAACAATTTGGAGTGCTCAGAAGAAGACAGGAAAATGTGGGAAAGTTTAGAACTTTCTAGAGACTTGTTGAATGGCTTTGACAAAAATGCTGATAGTGATAGGAACAATAAGGTCCAGGCTGAGGTGGTCTCAAATGGAGATGAGGAACTTGTTGGGAACTGGAACAAAAGTGACTCCTGTTATGTTTTAGCAAAAAGACTGGTGGCATTTTGCCCTTGTCCTAAAGATTTGTGGAACTTTGAACTTGAGATAGATGATTTAGGGTATCTGGTGGGAGAAATTTCTTTTTTTTTTTTTCTGTTGAATATTAAGATTTATTTTAAGGTTATAAAAATTAAGATAGTATAGTATTATAGTAATAATAGGTTAATAGATGCAGACCCATGCAAGTATTATTTGATTTATGACAAATACAGCACCTGTTGCAGTGGGCAAAGGATGGTGTTTTTTGTTTTTTGTTTTTCATATTTTAAATTTTTTTTAATTTTTTTATTTTTTTATTATTATACTTTAAGTTTTAGGGTACATGTGCACATTGTGCAGGTTAGTTACATACGTATACATTTGCCATGCTGGTGTGCTGCACCCACTAACTCGTCATCTAGCATTAGGTATATCTCCCAATGCTATCCCTCCTGCTCCCCCCACCCCACAACAGTCCCCACAGTGTGATGTTCCCCTTCCTGTGTCCATGTGATCTCATTGTTCAATTCCTACCTATGAGTGAGAATATGCGGTGTTTGGTTTTTTGTTCTTGCGATAGTTTACTGAGAATGATGATTTCCAATTTCATTTCTAAGCAGCAAAGCATTCAAAAGGTGACGTAGGTGCTATTAATTCAGTTTTAAAAGGGAAACAGAGCATAAAAGTTTGAAAAATTTGCAACCTGACAATGCAATAGAAAAGAAAATCCCATTTTTTGAAGAGAAATTCAAGCCAGCTGCAGAAATTTGCATAAGTAACAAGGAGCCAAATGTTAATCCCCAAGACAGTGGCAAAAATGTCTCCAGGACATGTCAGAGATCTTCACAGCAGCCCCTCCCATCACCAGCCTGAAGGCCTAGGAGGAAGAAGTGGTTTCATGGGCTGGGCCCAGGGTCCCCAAGCTGAGCCGTGTGCAGCCTAGGGACTTCGTGCCCTGTGTCCCAGCTGCTCCAGCCGTGGCTGAAAGGGGCCAATGTGGAGCTTGGAATTCAAATATAGACAGTCTGTGGTGCAAGCCCCAAGCCTTGGCAGCTTCCACGTGGTGTTGAGCCTGCAGGTACACAGAAGTCAAGAAATGAGGTTTGGGAACCTCTGCCTATATTTTAGAAGATGTACGGAAACACCTGGATGCCCAGGCAGAAGTTTGCAGCAGGGGTGGGGCTATCATGGGGAACCTTTGCTAGGGCAATGTAGAAGAGAAATGTGGGGTCATAGCCCCCACACAGAGTCCCTACTGGGGCATCGCCAGAGGAGCTGTGAGAAGAGGGCCACTGTCCTCCAGACCCCAGAATGGTAGATCTACTGACAGTGCACTGTGCACCTGGAAAAGCCACAGACACTCAGTGCCAGCCTGTGAAAGCAGCTGGGAGGGAGGCTGTACCCTGCAAAACCACAGGGGTGGAGCTGCCCAAGACCATGGGAACCCACCTCTTCCATCAGTGTGACCTGGATGTAACATGGAGTCAAAACAGATCATTTTGGAGCTTTAAGATGTGACTGCCCTGCTGGATTTTGGACTTACATGAGCCCTGTAGCCCCTTTGTTTTGGCCAATTTCTCCCACTTGAAACAACTGTATTTACCCAATGTTTGTACCCCCATCATATTTGGAATAACTAGCTTACTTTTGATTTTACAGGCTCATAGACAGAAGGGACATGCCTTGTCTCCAGTGAGACTTTGGACTACGGACTTTTAGTTAATGCTGAAATGAGTTAAGACTTTGGGGGACTGTCGGGAAGGCAGGATTGGTTTTGAAATGTGAGGACATGAGATTTGGCAGGGGCCAGGGGTGGAATGATATTGTTTGGCTCCGTGTCCCCACCCAAATCTCATCTTGAATTTTACTCTCATGATTCCCACATGTTGTGGGAGGGACCCAGTGGGAGATAATTAAATCATGGGGACAGTTTCCCCCATACTGTTCTCATGGTAGTGAATAAGTCTCACAAGATCTGATGGTTTTATCTAGGGTTTCTGCTTTTGCGTCTTCGTCATTCTCTCTTTGCCTGCCACCATCCATGTAAGATGTGACTTGCTCCTCCTTGCCTTCTGCCATGATTGTGAGGCTTCCCCAGCCACGTGGAACTGTAAGTCCAATTAAACCTCTTTCTTTTGTAAATTGCCCAGTCTCAGGT